>NW_025791768.1:0-174385 GCF_000001405.40 Homo sapiens | reverse complement strand
TAGGCAGAATTATCAATGCATATTCAGAATACTACACCCCAGATCCTTCAGGTACTTTGGAAATAAATGACAACTTCATTATGCCTATAGCTCTGTACCCTTGGCACTGAGCAAAAAAGCCAGAGACATGGGCCCAGATTCTGAGCTTTCTAAAGATTTGCTTCAACCTTCTACCTTAGGGATGATTATCTTGAGGTGTTCAGCAAAGTCCTGTGGATTTATTCTCATCACTGTATAAAGTGTATCAGTCAGGATCGTGAACAACAACTCTGAAACTGCCACTCTAATCTCTGTGGCTTAACACATTAGAGGCATATTCCTGAGTCCTGATTCTTCCCATCTTGTGTAGCCACCATATTTAAGGGCCTTCCTTCGGGCCTTCAGTGAATTGTTTACATTCACTCAGTCAACTAGGAAAAAGAAGAAATTCCAGTATTATGGAACAAGAGAAAATGGAATTGAAGAGCCCATCTCTGCTACACAAAGTGACTGATTTGTGTTTAACTTTAAAAGGGTGGAATTTCCTAGGAGAAATATACCATCAATATACCATCAAAATCATGGTAGAATATGACAAAACCTCCAAGGGAAATTACATTGTTTCAACAAGGAAACTTCTAAGGAAAAATGTTCCCCATCTATAAATTCCCCCAGTCATTCACTTACTTATAAATTAAGTACCTGATCTTTATCATGCCTGGGAGCTGAAGAAGAGCTTCTGCAATCCCATCTTCCACACCTAAGAACATCTAGGGTACTGGAAAGGTGTATGTGTGTGAGGGGAGAAAATAATGAGAGAAATATATGGGAGGAGTGCCAACATAGATGAATTACAAAGGTTCTGCTTCTTTTGATTTCTTCTTTGCTTCTGCTTTAGTCTCAGAAATTCTTTATCATAATAGGTTAGCGTGTGAACTCTCAACTCCTGGCATCCAAAAAAGGAGTAAGATACATGGAGTGTCTTTCCAAGAGGAAGCAAAAAATTAAAACACTTGACATCAGTTGAATAAAAAATTAAATATTTAATTGATCTGGTCTGCAGCAAAAACTTCAAAGGTTAATACCATGTAATCTAACCAATGTTTCCATGAGTATCTAACCTAAGGAATTCATTCAACAGAGGCAGGAGGTTATATAAATGGACATGTTCATCACAGCATTAGCTACAATAGTAAAAAAGAAAATAGCCAAAATGACTAATAATAAACTTACATTTACTTGATGGGGTATAATAAAGTCATTGAAAAGATACTAACATGCTACAGGGGAATGTTTATGTTAATATTTTAATACAAGTAGACAATGAAATGTTTCTTTTACATTAACTATACATATATAATATACAATGATGAAACCAATTGCTTTATTGACATGGTAAAATGACAATTTCTTTATTCAAACATTTTTTAAATCGCTACATCAACTTCTCAGTAATTAAAACATTTATACCATCTGTATGTGGGAGGCAAAACATATAATTTATTATTCATTCTGAAAAAAACGTCATTGCACAAATCCACCGGTATTTATTACCTAGAATTTTCTATTTCAGTTACATGTTGCTCACTCCCACTGTATTGCTTTCCTTTTAACAGGATCCTTCCCAAAGGCTATCTTCCATTTGCTTCCTTCTAGCACCTTCCATCCAGAGTGATCAGGTTCCTTTTGACCCTCAAAGAGCTGATTCCTGGGCAGTGGAAAAAGCCCAAAGCAATGATGCGCTGGTGTTCACTACTAGCAGTCATCATTCACTGTCTCTTCCCTAAAATCTAGAAGATCCATAACCTCTGGGTTACAAGAAACTGTTTCCTGCTGAGGCATACTTGAGGCAGGAATAGTTTGGGGAAACAACAATAGATATCTTCCAGAACTAATCTGAGAATTTAATGAGATAATGTATGGAAAACTTCAGGAGCCCTATCCTGGAGTACATCGCTTGAGGTCAAATTCTGACTCTTCTCCTTACTAACTGTGGCATTGGGTCATTTATTTGAAATTTAAATAAATGTAATAATTTATTCAAAATTATTTAAAATTGGGTGCCTCATTTACTTCATCATGTAAAAGAGAAAAAGAAGAGAAGGAGCTGCTGCCTCCTAAAGTTGGTATAAGGATTAAGTGAGATAATGCATGCACTTTCATACAGCATTACTTGCCATATTGTATCTACTCAAATATGTTAGCTATTTTCTCAATAATTATTATGATACTGACCAGTTTATGACATCATTTAAATACAGCCGAAGCATCTAGTGCTGGTCAAGTGTAAAATTCCTCAACTTCCTTTTTTTTTTTTTTTTTTTGAGACAGAGTCTCACTCTGAAGCCCAGGCTGGAGTGTAGTGGCACCATCTCGGCTCACTGCAACCTCTGCCTCCCGGGTTCAATGATTCTCCTGCCTCAGCCTCCTGAGTGGCTGGGACTACTGGCGTGCACTACCACACCAGGCTAATTTTTGTATTTTTAGTAGAGATGGGGTTTTACCATCTTGGCCAGGCTGGTCTCACTCTCCTGACCTTGTGATCCACCCGCCTCAGCCTCCCAAAGTGCTGGGACTACAGGCATGAGCCACCATACCCAGCACCTTCCTCAATTTTCCACTCTCTTTTCTACAAATGTGATCTCCGTTTTAGATGGCAGGGTATCCTACTTATCGACTCCAGCTACATTCTTATCCTCATTCCTTCTCATCTTGAATAGTATTTCATATTTTCCCTTCTCCTTTCTTTACCACCAGCCTATTTTTATTATCTTTCCAGCAGAGGTTGTAAATATATTCAAATTTCTAATATTTTTTGAAAAAGAAAATCTTCCCCAGATCATTTTAAAATCTCAAGCTGCTAGTTCTTTCTCCTTACATTTTCAACTAAATTTCTAGTGGTTGTATCCATCTGTTCTGTTGTATCCTCAGTTCTCAATATAACCCGATAGTTTCTGATTCCACCATCCCATTGAATCTTGCTTTAACTAAAATTATCGATGGGCTTCATATTGACAAAATATTTTTATAACATATTTTTGGACTTCTCTGTGAAATTTTATACATTATAATGACTTATTTTACATTGTTCATATTTATTTTCTTCATTCTTTCATTTGTAAAGCCTATACTTCCCAGGCTTCTATTACTATAATTCCACTCTCATCTTTCTATCTGCACTTACTACCCTAGTAGGCTTTCCTTCTCAGATTCTTGCTCCATAGAACGATGAAAACTTCAGCATTCCCACGATTCTGTCACTTAAATGCTGCTTTTCTCTCTCAAGAAATGCTCATTAGAGCTCATGTCCTTTGCAGGGACATGGATGAAGCTGGAAACCATCATTCTCAGCAAACTAACACAGGAACATAAAACCAAACACCACATGTTCTCACTCATGAGTGGGAGTTGAACAATGAGAACACGTGGACACAGGAAGGTGAACATCCCACGCTGGGGCCTGTCGGGGGCTGGGGGACAAGGGGAGTGAGAGCATTAGGACAAATACCTAATGCATGTGGGGCTTAAAGCCTAGATGACAGGCTGGTGGGTGCAGCAAACCACCATGGCACACGTATACCTATGTAACAAACCTTCACGTTCTGAACGTGTATCCCAGAATTTAAAGTAAAATTAAATAAAGAAAAAGAAATGCTCATTAGTCCACCTCATAATACTCTTGGTTTTACCTACAATGTTTGTAGTGATAATTTCCAAATCTATATCTATATCCCTGACCAATATCCTGAGCATCAGACTGACAGCACAGAGCCTGGCATATACGAACATAAATATTTGTAGAAAAATAAATAAGCAAGGCCTGCTAGTTACAGCATTTCAATGCCCCAGATCTGCCTCAAAGGTTTAAACTAATCTAAGAAGTTTCAGATGAGGGGCAGAAACCTCTATCTTCCTACTCTTACTCTGTGAATGGCCATATTATACAGCCATTTCCCCAAACCAAGAATTTGAGAGTTATTGAGACTCTGCCTGTCTTTTTTTCTGGATCATCTTCCAGTGCATCAGCAAATATTGTTTATTTTACCTCTTCGTATTTCCCAAATTCATTCCCCTTTCCCCCATTACTATTTTACCTCTACTGCCCTAGTTTAGGCTTCATCACTTCTTGCCAGACATAGCACAGTAAACAGCCACGTACTTAATCGTATCTGTGTCTTTACCCTGTCTTAAATCTACTGTCTATATTACTGTCTATATTCTAACCCAGAAAATTTACCTAAAACACAAATAATGACCTTGCCATTTATTTCCTCTCTTTAAAACTCTTAAAAGGCTGTCAATTACTTACAGAATAATGTGTCATATTTTCAGCAGGCCATGACCCTTTACACCACTCTTTGCTATGAGCTTTATCATTTTCAAGAATTCTATTTTTTGTAGTACAACGTAATAGATAATAAAAAGTACAAATTTGGAATAATATCCCACGCACTCACAGAAGCAAACACAAACCATCTGATCTCAGAAACCTCATTCAATTAACAAAACACACACAAGAAAACAAGGCATTGGAATGAGGACAGGCAGAAACAACAGATCATAGAATCAGGTGTACAACTATTTTAACTTTAGGAATTATGAGATACTGAACAAAATAAGTATATTTAATATACTCATAAATTAAATTTTAAGTGTAAGAAAATATAAAATGCCAGGCATATTTTAGAATAGACAAGGAATCTAAAGGAACTATGTTTTAAGACAGAGTGCCTGAGATTTCTCTAGAACTGTTAACGGTAAAAGTCAATAATTTCAGGAAAATCGCATATGTATTTTGTACTATAGTGAAGTGCTAAATAACAAAGACAAGGAAATAACTCTAGAAATAGCCATAGTCAAAGGGCAGATTACTTACAGAGGAACGATTATTGAAATGATAGCTGATTTCTCAACTGCGAAAATAAAAACTGGGGTATAGTATAATAAAATATTCTGTATCTGATGGGCAGTAACTGTCAACGTGGAGTTGTACACAAACTGAGTATATCTTTCAATAACGAGAAATAACAAACAAAAAGTGTAATTTTGTTACCCATAAACCCTCTCTAAACTAATGATGGGGTTGTAAACTGATATGACCAGTTTAGAAAATATTTTGGCATTACCCGGTCCAGTGCAGTTGGACATGCACACAAACTTGAGCCCAAATTCTACTCATACACATGTTCCATAGGAGAAACTCTTACATATGTGCATGAAGAAATATGTCTTAGAATATTCATAGCAGCATTGGATGTGATAGTTCCATGGTAGAAATAATGTAAATAGGCATCCTATTAAAATGAATATATTGTAATATATTAATGGAATGCAAAAATATGGAGAAATCACAAAGTGAAGCAAACAAATATACATAGTATGATTCCACTTATATAAATTTCCAACTGAATGGAAAATTGAACTATATATAAATATATTTTTGAGACGGAGTTTTGCTCTTGTTGCCCAGGCTGGAGTGCAATGGCGCAATCTCGGCTCACTGCAACCTCTGCCTCCTGGGTTCAAGCAATTCTCCTGTCTCAGCCTCCTGAGTAGCTGGGATTACAGGTGCCAGTCACTATGCCCAGCTAATTTTTGGTATTTTTAGTAGAGACAGGTTTTCACCATGTTGGCCAGGCTGGTCTTGAACTCTGGACCTCAGGTGATCCACCCACCTCAGCCTCCCAAAGTGCTGGGATTACGGTCTGAACAATATATTTTTAAAAGATAGGAACATGTGTGGTAATTGTTTTTAACTTTTATTTTAGGTTTAGGGGTACATGTGAAGGTTTGTTATACAGGTAAATTCGCATCACGGGAATTTGTTGTACAGATTATTTTATCACCCAAGTATTAGGCCTAGTACCCAATGATTATTTTTTCTGCTCCTGTTCCTTTCACCCTCCACCCTCAAGTAGGCCCCAATGTCTCTTGTTGCCCCCTATATTCAGTTGATGAGTTCTCATCATTTAGCTTCTACTTCTAAGTGAGAACATGCAGTATTTGGTTTCCTGTTCCTGAGTTAGTTTGCTAAGGATAATGGCCTCCAGCTCCATCTATGTTCCTGCAAAAGATATGATCTCATTCTTTTTTACGGCTGCATAGTATTACATGGTCTATTTGTACCACATTTTCTTTATCCAATCTGTCATTGACGGACATTTAGGTTGATTCCATGTCTTTGCTATTGTAAATAGTGCTGCAATGAATATTCACACGTATGTGTCTTTATGGTAGAATGAATTCTATTCCTCTGGTTATATAAATGGTATTGCTTTCTCAAATGGTAGTTCCGCTTTTAGGTCTTTGAGGAATCGCCATACTGTTTTCCACATGGTTGACTAACTTACACTCCTACCAACAGTGTATAAGTGTTCCTTTTTCTCCACAACCTCACTAGCATCTGTTAATTTTGACCTTTTAATAATAGCCTTTCTAACGGGTATGAGATGGTATCTGATTGTGGTTTTGATTTGCATTTCTCTAGTGATCAGTGTTATTGAGCATTTTTTTCATATGCTTGTTGGCTGCATGTATGTCTTCTTTTGAAAAATGTCTGTTCATGTCCTCTGTCCAGTTTTTAATGGAGTTGTTTGGTTTTTCTCTTGTAAATTTGTTTAAGTTCCTTAGAGATGCAGGATATTGGACCTTTGTCAGAAGCATAGTTTGCAAATATTTTCTCCTATTCTGTAGGATGTCTGCTTACTCTTTGACAGTTTCTTTTTCTGTGCAGAAACTCTTAAGTTTAATTAGATCTCATTCTCAATTTTTGTCTTTGTTGTAATTGCTTTTGGTGTCTTCATCAATGGATAAAGAAAATCAAGAAAATAATAAACACAAAGATTAGAACAGTGTTCCCTGAATGGAGTGAGAAGGAGATGGAAAAGGGAGAAAGACACCATGGGGTTCAAAAGTAATGGCCACTTTTAAAATGTGCAAGGGATACAGAGTCATCATTCTATTGTTGTCCTTTATATCTTATCAATATTTTTCTAAATATTCATGGACATCTAACCAAGATGTAATACAGAAAGTTAAACAGAAAGAAGAAGATCCACTCCTCACTCTCAGTTTCTTCCTAATTGCATGTGCATAAGCTTCTGTTGCCTAGAATACTATTCTCTCTTATTTCTGCCTGGTTAACACCTGTGGTAACATTTTCTCCTGAAAGTTTTTCATCAAATTCATGATGGATCTAAGAAAAACTGTCCCTCTCTAACCCTTCCATAAACACATACATACATACACATCTTTCTTTGCTCTCTTTCAGTACACATCAGGCTTTACCATGTTTTAGCTAATATGCCAAAGACATCTTGCTTGCATCGCTCCCAATAGACTCTGAACTTCATAAAGTGAGCATTTTCTCTTATATTTTATGTGCAATGCCTGGCTCATGGTAGATGCTCAATGAAAATTAAAATGACTATCACCTGAAAATAGAGATGTATCTCTGAATCCATGGCAATTCTCTAGGAGGGGTTGGAAACTGAGTGAGGTCTGACAGAGGACGAACAGAAAGAGGAATTTAAAAGCTGATTGACGATAAGTTTTATTAAGATTAAAAACCATGACAGGGGCCGGGTGCAGTGGCTCACGCCTGTAATCCCAGCATTTTGGGAGTCCAAGGCGGGTGGATCATATGAGGTTGGGAGTTTGAGATCAGCCTGGCCAATGTGGCAAAACCCTGTCTCTACTGAAAAATACAAAAATTAGGTGAGTGTGGTGGCATGCGCCTGTAAACCCAGCTACTAGGGGGCTGAGGCAGGAGAATCACTTATCGCTTGAACCCAGGAGGCAGAGGTTGCAGTGAGCCGAGATTGTGCCACTTCACTCCAGCCTGGGCAACAAAGCAAGACTCCATCTCAAAAAACAAACAAACAAAAAAAACAAACAAAAAACACTAGAGTATGATTCAGGTGTTTGCCTCTACAACGAACACCTGAAACATGGCTAGATATTGTCATTGCCCTATTCATATGCATGTTCATCTCTGCTTCCAAGTCTTTGCTTCAATCCTCCTTTCTCCTGGTACGTGGAGCACCCTTCTTTTGCACCTCTCCCATTTACTCCCAATGCATGTGTTAAAGCACAACTTAATCCCAGCAAGACAACTTGCTTCACTCACCTTCAGTGCTTACAGATCTTCCAATTAAATTAATCAATCATTAATTGAGCTGGTGAGTAGCTAGTCACTAAACATTGCCATGATTTTCATTGCCCTCTGTAAAATAAATAGCCCTCTGAAATGGGTAAGTCACTTAGGGCGTGGCTTCAGTAAAAATTTGTTGGTTTTTTTTTTTGTATTCAAAGGATAAAGTATGTTACATAATATAGAACAAAACACATCAAGAATAACTTTGGCTGTGAATTAGTGATAAACAAATGTCCAAGACTCCTAGAACCTAGTTCTCATGTAAGCTAAGCTGACACACCCTTGTTTGTACCTTCAGATGAGTCAGAAGCAGCAATAGACATTTCCATAGCTCTTCTCTTGAGGAGATATAGTCCCTCAGAGCCAAACAAAAAGTTTTTATTGAGCATGTAATATGCAATCAACTCTAAGGCACTAGGAATACAGAATGAACATTATGATTTTTCTTTGCCTTCTATGATGTAATAATTATTTGGGAGGAAAACACTACTCCATCTATTATGACAATAAATAACATAAGAGGTTATTCCATTCTGTTGCAAATATTACTGAGTATCTACAATGTATAGAACATCTGCTAAGCATTAAGAATAAATTATACAGTGCAACCTACTGTTACAGATATTTTGAATAGCTGTCATGATTTACCTATTTTCACTGTCTCTCTTAGAACCTAGAATGGTGCTTTGGCCTATTCAGTGCTCAATCGAAGTGTATTTCAGAAGACAATGGCAGCTGGGTATACATAAGAGAAGCTGGTAAAGAGTTTCTGATATATGAATACTTCAATAGTTTTGGAATTGCATAGGCCAAAGCATATTTTATGTATATTGTAAGTTATTTATTTTAAGCAAATTGTGACTAGTGCCTCCATGATATTGCTATCTACCAATTCCTGAATTCAGACCCCTTCCATCAGCCTGAACTCAAATGTTGTTTGACACACTGTTGGACTGAGTTAGCATGAAGTAGGCTATCAGTCAGATTGCCCTATGAGCACCCATTCACTGCTCATCCTTAATCTTGTCTGAATCAACTATCTAAAGAATTGCCTCAGGGCTAGGGGGACCAAGCAAGGGCAGATAGAAGGGGAGAAAGTAGAACTACTTTCCCCTGGCTTCCTCAGAATGCATGAGACTTAAAGGAAAATCACAACAGTGCCCCTGAACTTCCTGTCGTCTTTACCATAGGGAATACAGAGCCTCATTTTCTTCCTTTCCTGGGGTCTTGAGTGGCTTATGCATCCTCTAGTTATTAGCTATTTAAGTTTCCCAGTGCCACGGTCATGGCTTTTTCATAACTTTCTTTACCCTTCAATGACTTCTACTACTCCCAAGGGATAAAAGCTGGTTTATTACATCTTGAGAGCTCTTGGTTTCCAGAGATGGAATATTCTTCATTTTAAGCCTCGGTGTTTCAGCTTCACACTCTTGTTCATCAGAGATGAAAAAAGAAACAAAGGGCCAGGCATATTTGGGCATCTATCACAAGGGCCAGGCAAAGGTTAGCAGCTTATAGACATCATCTAATATAATCCTCACAACATTGAATCAGTTATTATTCTCCATTTTCAGATAGGAAATCTGAGTTGCAGAGAAATAGAAGTGAATTGCCCAAGCAATTCTATATTAAAAAACCAATAAAACTTTTAATCAAATTGTAAAAAACTCACCCCCATGGTGTTTACACTAAACTTACCAGAACCCCTTGTCCCTTGTTCCTTACTGAAAGAAGAAACAGTGACAGGCTCAGTAGATGTAGATTCAACTCTCTTAAAGCTTATAAGATTTGATTCTAAGAGCTTCACTAGGGACTCAATAAGCATTTCATAGGGAAAAAGTTTTGGTGTGTGTGTGTGTGTGCACTAAATCTGAGTTCACTATAAGTTATGACCCCTTTAGTATAAATAATTGAAATATATTTGTATTTTTTTACAGATTTTAAGATTTTTTTATTGTTCTTATATTCTAGGAATTAAGAGAAAGAGGGTGGTCTCTACAGTGTTCATTTCTTTAGCAATCCCACAAAAAAAAAACACACAAAATGTGACCAATATTTTCTTAGCCAAAACTAAATATAAAATCTGCCATCCTGAGCTGAGTAGCCTTATGCTAACTCTGGGAAATGAATGAAACTTCTTCACAACTCCATCTGGATCTTTCTATTCAGCTGAAATTAGTGTATTCAGCTGAGTCACCCTATCAATATCTAGCTAGTTATTTAGCAGTGGAGTTAAAACCTTCCACTTTTCCTTACAATAATCCAATTTCTTTCTAGCTGAAGAAAATTTTCAAGAGGAAGATATAAAATTACCAAAAGTAGATAAAGATTTTGCCTCTTTCGGGTTAACAGTAGGGATATTCTATGAGGTGTGATTCCAAAATGGCCCCATTTGGATGGGTTCAGATACAATAGGATGTCTACAAATCAGGTTTGGTATTTACTACTGAATGAGATATTGTAACTTTTCTGTTTGCATACTTGTATGTTCAATGCATTATATATGTGATTAATGTGTGTGTATTTAATGTGTATTTAATAACTCCACCTATTACCTTTTGTGGGACATGATGGATGATGTAGTAAAACTATTGCTTATGGACTACAAGAAATTAGATCCCTTAAAATATAGATATCTTAACCTCATGCCCTGTTTTTTTTTTCCTCTGTAATTGACTCCTTGAATAATTAGTCTCAAAATGAAAGCAAAATAAGGACCAGGACACTTCTATGTGGCTGCAATCCATGGGTTCTTGAATGTTGGTTGTAACAGTACAATTTCAGGCCAGAGAGAAAGGAATAAAAGGTAAGAGAAGAAGAACCACAAACAAAATTTTAGGGTAGGATAATAGTGAGTCAAGGTGATGGGCTAGAAATAAGGATTTGAGAGGAAAAGATCCCAGTGAAGTCTTAAGACAAACTGGAGACTAAAAAAAATCACCGCCAATTAAAAAAGGGTATATAATTCAAAGCATCAGTGTATTAGTCTGTTTTCACACTGCTATAAAGAATACCTGAGACTGGGTTAATTTATAAAGGAAAGAAGTTTAATTGACTTACAGTTCTGCATGGCTGGGGAGGCCTCAGGAAACTTACAATCATGGCAGAATGCAAAGGGAAAACAGGGCACATCTTTTCATGGCAGCAGGAGAGAGAGACTGCACAGGAAAACTGCCACTTTCAAACCATCTGATCTCATGAGAACTCACTATCATGAGAACAGCATGGGGAAAACCACCCCCATGATGCAATCACCTTCCACCAGGTCCCTCCCTCAATACATGGGGGTTACAATTCAAGATGAGATTCGGGTGGGAAAACAGAGCCAAACCATATCGTTTCACCCCTTGCCCCTCTGAAATCTCATGTCCTTTTTACATATCAAAACCAATCATGCCTTCCCAACAGTTCCCCAAAGTCTTAACTCATTCCAGCATTAACTCAAAAGTCCAAGTCCGAAGTCTCATCTGAGATAAGGCAAGTCCCTTCCACCTATGAGCCCATAAGATCAAAAACAAGTGAGTTACTTCCAAGATACAATGGGGGTACAAGCATTAGGTAAATGTTCCAATTCCAAATGGGAGATATTGGCCAAAACAAAGGGGACACAGGCTCCATGCAAGCCCAAAATCCAACAAGGCAGTCATTAAATCTTAAAGTTCCAAAATAATCTTTTACCCCATATCTCACATCCAGGGCATGCTAATGCAAGAGGTGGGTTCCTATGGCCTTGAGCAGTTCCGCCCCTGTGGCTCTGCAGGGTACAGCCCGAGACTGCTTTCACAGGCTGGTGTTGAATGCCTGCAGCCTTTCCAGATGCAGGATACAAGCTGTCAGTGGATCTACCATTCCAGGGTCTGGTTTCTGGGGTCTGGAGGATGGTGGCCCTCTTTTCACAGCTCCACTAGGCAGTGGCCCAGAGGGGACTCTGTGTGGGGGCTCCAACCCCACATTTCCCCTTTGCATTGCCCTAGTAGAGGTTCTGTATCAGGGATTCACCCCTGAAGCAAACTCCTGCCTGGACATCCAGGAATTTCCATAAATCTTCCAAAATCTAGGTGGAGGCTCCTAAAGCTGAACTCTTGTCTTCTGCATACCTGCAGGCCCAACACCACATGAAAGCCACCAATGCTTGGGGCTTGCACCCTCGGAAGTAACAGGCTGAGCTGTACATTGGCCCCTTTTAGTCATGGCTGGAGCTGGAGTGGCTGGGACACAGGACGTCTTATCCAAAGCCTGTATCAAGCAGTGGGGTCTTGTGCCCAGCCCATGAAAACATTTTTCTTCCTAGGCCAGGCCTGTGACGGGAAGGGCTGCCTTGAAGGTCTCTGAAATGCCCTGGAGATATTTTCCCCATTGTCTTGGGGATTAGCATTTGGTTCCTTGTTACCTATGCAAATTTCTGCAGCCAGCTTGAGTTTCTTCCCAGAAAAGGGTTTTTCTTTTCTGCTGCATAGTCAGGCTGCAAATTTTCCAAATTTTTATGCTGTGCTTGCCTTTAAAAGTTCCAGTTTCAGATTATCTCTTCGTGAACGCATAAGACTGAACACTTTCAGAATCATCCAGGTGATATCTTGAATGCTTTGCTGCTTATAAATTTCTTCTGCCAGATACCCTAAATTATCTTTCAAGTTCAAACTTCCACAGATCTCTAGGGCAGGGGTGAAATGCCACCAGTCTCTTTGCTAAAGCATAGCAAGAGTGAGTTTTACTCTAGTTCCCAATAAGTTCCTCATCTCCATCTGAGACCACCTCAGCCTGTACTTCAATGTCCATATCACTATCAGCATTTTTATCAAAACCATTTAACCAGTTTCCAGAAAGTTCCAAACTTTTTCAGATCTTTTTATCTTCTTCTGAGCCCTCCAAACTGTTCCCATCTCTGCTTGTTACCCAGTTCCAAAGTCACTTCCACATTTTCAGGTTATCTTTATGGCAGTGCCCCACTCCCAGTACCAATTTTCTGTATTAGTCCATTTTCACATTACTATAAAGAATACTTGAGACTGGGTAATTTACAAGGGCAATAGGTTTAATTTATGCACAGTTCTGCATTGCTGGGGAGGCCTCAGGGAAGTTACAGTCATGGCAGATAGTAAAGGGGAAGCAAGGCACATCTTCTCATGGTGGCAGGAGAGAGAGACTGCGGGGAAACTGCTACTTTTAAACCATCAGATCTTGTGAGAGAACTCACTCACTATCTGGAGAGAATCATATGGCGGCAACCGCTCCCATGATCCAATCACCTGCCACCAGTTACCTCCCTCAACATATGGGGTTTACAATTTGAGATGAGATTTGGGTGGGAACACAGAGCCAAACCATATCAATTAGATATCTAGAAACAATATCCCAATGTATGCTCATAAGAATGCATGGTGTAAAATGATGGAAATATAGCCATTTATTCTGTAGAAGTTTCAGTGACATTCTAGACTAAAATTTCAGCAGTTTTAATAAAAGCCACACTTGTTAGGGTAAGAGGTTCAAGTCAGATTTTGAAAATGTTGAATGGTTAAAAAATAGTTACTTGCATCTCCCTTGAAAGGAGCACAGAGTGTGAGCCTGGGATGCTGATACCAGAAGAATGGCTGAACTGAAATAACTTTAGAAGTGGCCCTAGACATATGCGCACGTATGTTTACTGCAGCACTGTTCACAATAGCAAAGACTTGGAACCAACCAAAATGCCCATCAGTGATAGACTGGATAAGGAAAATGTGGCATATATACACCATGGAATACTATGCAGCCGTAAAAAAAAAAGGATGAGTTAATGTCCTTTGCAGGGACATGGATGAAGCTGGAAACCATCATCCTCAGCAAACTAACACAGGAACAGAAAACCAAACACGGCATGTTCTCACTCCTAAATGGGAGTTGAACAATGAGAACACATGGACACAGGAAGGTGAACATCACACACCAGGGCCTGTCGCGGGGTGGGGAGATAGGGGAGGGATAGCATTCAGAGAAATAACCTAATATAGATGATGGGTTGATGGGTGCAGCAAACTACTATGGCACATGTATACCTATGTAACAAACCTGTATGTTCTACACATGTATCCCAGAAGTTAAAGTATAATAATAAAAAACAGAAGTGGCCCTAGAAAGACTATTTCCAATAAAAGGTACATATTATTTTTATTAAGAACTGAGTTAGCTCCGGAAAAGCTAGGTTGATGCTAATATGGAAAGAAAGAGACCCTGATTATTGAATTCCACAGCTTTGGAGGTTCTTCCTCCTTGACTTTTGAAAGATACTTTCAGTTTATAAAAATTTACATTGATAGTTTTATTTTAAAAAGTGTTGCTCTACCATCATCTTCCTTAAATTACTTCTGACCAGAAATTTGCTTTCTTATATTTATTCTTCTTTCTCTAATGTGTCTTTCCTTTTCTGTGCTTTTAGAATTTTATATTGTTCATTGGTTTTGAGAATTTTGATTATGATACATTCTGATGTGATTTTAGGTTTCTTTTATTTTGGTTCTTCTGCACTTCTTGGGATCTCTTGGTTTATAGTTGTAATTCAATTTGAAACTTTTTCTATCATTATTTCTTCAAATATTTTTGTTCTGTCTCCCCCTTCTTTATTGACTCCAATTGCATATATATTAGGCCACTTTAAATTGTAACAAAGATTACTAATTCTTATTTTATTTTTATGTGTTTTTCTGTTTTATGTTAGATAGTTCCTGTTGCTATGATTTCAACTTTACTAACCTAATATTCTGAATGCCTAACCTACCATTACCCTATTCAGGTTATTTTCATCTCAGACATTATAATATTCATCTCTAGAATTTTGATTTGTGGTATTTTTATATCTCAGGTATCACTGTGCTTTATTTTCTGATGCCCAGTGCCTTGAATAAAATGGTTTCATATAGTTTATTTTTCTTCTAAATGTTTGATGAGTACATCTAGTTACTGTTACTCTAGCTTGACAAGATGTAGAAGTATTATATTGAATTTTAATCACATGTTTATACTTCTATCTTGTACTCTAGGTCATCAATGCATTAAGAGCAGAAATTCTCCTATTCCTTTCTTGCATATTTGCTATTACCAGGACCTCGCAACTAGAATCTAAAGTAGTTGACTATATTCGTGCAGCAAATAATGAAGTGAATATAATAACTCATTCATTTTACACCCAGGAGTATCAGTTGCAAATGAGTACTTTACCCCAAAGTTAATTTCTCATATCAAGACTACAAGCATCATGGGGGTTTGAAATTGTGCTTCCTTCCTATGGTCTCTGACTCTAATTTTCACTTTAAAACATGAGGAAAACCTTGAAATTGATGCGATGTTGTATTGGAACAGATATTTTATCTAACCTACCATAAGTATTCCAATGAGAGTTCTAGTGCTTTGGGTATGTTTTAATGGGATGTAAAAGATAAAATAAGTATCAATTACTTGCCTGATTACTTCTCCTTACAGAATAAGATGTTTACTTAAAGCTACATAAATACTATTGATTAAATACTGGAGACAGACAAAGACGAGTATTTGACCAGATAGTTACTGCATTGGATTGAAACATATTGGGCTTAGTCCCTTCCAAATCATAAATGTGGAAAAGGCCAAAACCAGATGAGTTACTTGATCCAACTCAATTTAGTTGAGGTTTTAAAATAGTAACACTAATTTTGAAACCAACTTCAAACAATTGAAAAGCAATTGGTTCAAATAAAGTTAAAAAATATTATCACTTTATAAATTTGTGCATTAAATTGTCCTGGCTCAATTTTGTCTTTGAAAACATGCTATTTTTAAATTCACATTTTTTGTGCTCATTGTATTATAACAAAAGTATAAGATGTTTGACTTTATTTATTAGGTGTCAAGTCTGTAGGTTTGAACTAGTTCTATCTGAAAACTTTAAGGAGAGGAAAAACGTAGGCACATTTCACATTTTGAAGAAGTTACAGAAAAGGTATCTTTAAAGAAGTCTGTTTCCAAATGAAAAAAAAAATGTGACTGTCTCCCCTTTAAAAAGTTTGAGAATTTGAGTGAAAGATGAAAAATCATTCTTTCTTCATACACAGAAACCACAGGCAACGCAGAATAGTTTTACCATTTTAGGAGCTGTAGAATGGAAAATGTGAACCTGGAAGTCGACAATTCTGTTTTTTAAAAGCAACTTAAACAGGGTGTGTGGGGAGAAGTGATTATATATGTATATACCCACATATATATGAAGTTTTTTTTTTAATTGACAAACATATAGTTAAGCTGGTATAATTGAAAGTATATAAAAGGGAAAGTTAAAATTGGACTTCTTTTATTGCAAATGACTTTAAAGTAAGATTGCATTCTGTAGAATATGAATCATCTGCATGTTTATATATTCTGTTACATCAACTTCGTGAGCAACTGCCACTGCTGCTCTAGCATGTAATGTATTAATAGTAATATTAAGCAATATTCCCTTGATTTATGTAACTGTAGTTTCTCAGGACAGTATGATACCACGAATAAGCTAGGATAATGGTTGTTGTCATTTGTATTCATCACTTTGGAAGCTGCTCCAAAAACAGAACTGCTGGGAACACTTATCATGTGTGATTCCTGTTCAAGAAGGGGTTGTCACTTTAAGAAACTCTTGCTTTGTGGTAAACCACAAGCTGTTGGTCCTTTACCAGCAAAATTTGAAGTTTAACCAGTATTTTGAGTAACTGTTCCCAATAGCTTGAAATTACCCACAGGTATACTTAATAATTTCCCTGGAGTGAAGTTACACTGCAAGGCACATTCTCCCAACTAGCTATGTAGGCTGGCAATATAGTTTATATGCACAAGAACTCCCAGTACCAAAGTTTCCCCGCCAAGGGATTTTTTTTAGATTTTCCTTTAAGCATATCATACTGTAATCTCCAATTTAAAGGCCTTGGCCTCCCACCATGGCATAATAATGAGTCACTGAGTAGAGAAGTGACATTCAGAAAGCAGCTCTTGAATGAGGAAGACCTGTGGGACTGTTCCATGAAAGGTAGTTTACAGATGTCAAAGATGATTATTCACCAGGACATACAATAAAGGTAAACAGGGAGGATAAATCTTTTCTTTCTACACTGAAGGTTTTATTGTGTCCCCCCTCCTAGTTATTGCAAATCCAATTTTTCACTGGTGTCCCATATGGAGTATGGCTCCCACCAATTTTTGAACTCTTGAATTATCAGGGAACAAAATCATTGTATTATTTTTGAACTCAAATACAAATCTAGTATAGATATGGACTAGGCATTTCTATACATTGAGAAAACATGCTTCTTTTCAACTTAAAAAAAAACTACAAGAAGACATATTTCTCTGCAAACATTAAGAAACAACTCAGCTAAGTTGCAAAATACCTTCTCTTCCTAGGTTGCCAGAACAAGAAAAATTTCATAGCTTCCAGGCCATGAGCCGACCTTATTCAGGACTCAAGGGGGAAAAAAAAAAGAAAAACAGTCTGGGTAAATTCTCAGTGTAAACTGCTACGGGATGATGTTCCCGTGTAAGCCTAAAGAGAAGATGCATCTGTACCTCAGCTTCCACTTACTCTTATTCCATCCTTGGCAAAATGCTCATCAAGTTGAAAATGCCACCTCGGTTACATTTACTCAGCCACTCACAGAATATTTGCAGATTGAGTCCACACTGTCTCTATACATTTTGTAAATATTGCAAGTCAGTTGGTCAGTTTTAGCAATTGAAAGAAAATATTAAATGAGATATCAGATCCACTGTATGACTTAACTGACAAAGTCTGAAATCAATAGATGATTCCACCACAGCACTGGCTTTTTATTGCTATCTTGTCTTAGATACATTTCTTCAGTTGAAATAATACCCCAAAGCAAACATATTAAACTGAATAAACTGAAAGGGCTCTGGATGAAATGCCAGTGGCAATCCCTGAGCCAGTGCCACCTCTCCCACCCTCTGCCACCCTTCCCCTACCCTGAACAATTCCTAACATGGCTTAGTGTCTCTATAGCTTCACCTAGCTCTGTGTATAAACCCCAAGGATAAGATCATCTAATCTAGGCACAGGCCACTTATGCCCAGTATTCATCACTAAAATAAGGTATCCTTCGAAGTGGAAGTCACAGAGAATGATAGTGGGTCTTGAGAATAAGTATTAGAGTCTAAAAGAAGTCTAATAAAAACCCTGATTTTTCTCAGCATTTGTGTAACAATGATTAAAATAAATAATACACCTCACTTATATTCATAATGGTCTGATTATAATCAGTTCTCAAGGCTACCTGTACATGGCTCTCCTCCTGAACTTCCAAGGAGAAGAAACTGCACATGGTGGCAATGCTAGGGATCACTAACTCTAAAGACCATTGTTTCTTCTCAGACTTATATTCTCTGCCCTGTGCTTGAACCTTGGATGATGTCATGAGGCCTTCAGACCTTCTATAATCACTTCCTAACAATCTCCTCACAATTTCCTATCTCAGGTGCATGTTAAGATCAAAGATGCCCCTGCTAAAATTGAAGCATAGCCTTCTTTAATTTTTAATTTTTTGAAGGTATGTAGTAGGCATATATATTTATGGAATACATGAGATGTTTTGATAGAGGCATGCACTGCATAATACATCAGGGTAAATGGGGTATCCATCCCTTCATTAGTGTTACAAAAAATCGAATTATACTCTTATCCTTAGTGTTATCCTTAGTGTTACAAAAAATCGAATTATACTCTTAGTTATATTAAAGTGTATAATTACATTATTATTGACTGTAGTCATTTTGTTGTGCGATCAAATAGGTCTTATTCATTCTTATTATTTTTTTGTACCCATTAACCATCCCCACCTCCCTTCCACCCCGCCCCCTAACTATGCTTCCTAGCCTCTGGTAACCATCCTTCTACTCTGTTTCTGTACATCCTTGTTTGATCTAGGTCATGGACACATTCTAGCCTGTTCTTAAAGACTATGAAACTCAAATTTCTTTAGCTAAAACACTTGCCATCCACACTGTTTAGCTACTCATCCCACTTGATACCCCTCCATGAATCATTAGGTTTCTTTATGGCAGAAAGCTTTGTCCTGTTTTCTACTTTCTTCCCCTCCACAGGGTGCCAATGACACCATCCCCCTCGGCAAGTAGCAACCCCTCTTATAATGTCAAACTTAGAATGGCCCTGGGTGGGTGAGCTCAAGAAATGCTGGTTGCTATATGTCATTTCATGACAGTGTTTTCCAAAATAACCCATTCAACTTATGTACTAGAATATGCAGGGGGCAAAAATAAACATTTTCCCAGTAGTGTATATACTTTGCTATAAAAAGAATTAGTTTGAGTTTTCAAAAGTGAAAAAGAAATGACCATATTTTGTTAGCATGAAAGGGCTTTGGCATTCCTTCAAAAATCAAAGTGGAATAGATATGGCTTACAGATTCTATGAAGTTATTATGTGACTATTGTAAATGTAACGGAGCTTTATACAATGTCTATATTCTGATAATGGATGATATTCTGCCCACATTATTCGCCTTCCTTCTTTCTAAACTCCCTTCTTGTTTTTATTTCTGTACCTCACTTAGGATGCCTGCCCTCACCCCCATACATTATTCAAATATCTCAAGTTCTATCTCGTCCAGAAAGCCCGACCCAGCTATAGTTATCTGCTCAGAGTGATCTTGACTTCTTTATTTTGCAAGCATTCACTGATGGCCGCATGTGACAAGTTATTGTCTAGGTAATGGGGGATGAAATCTATGACTTCAACTTCCTTTTGCATGCATACACACATTGACAAACACATTTAATGCATATACAGTTTCTAACAGCCTCATGTGCCTTAGTCTTTGGCTCTCCTCTACAATGTCTTGAATAGGACTGAGCAGTTAGAGCTGAATACATACTTATTGACGCTTAAGGGTATATTTTCTCAGTATACATAGATATCCCACCTCTCCAGTAAACAGACAGTTCACCCTAGTGTCAACAGTGTATATAAAAGCTAGTGGGTTAACTTATGTAATGGTAACAGAATTGTTTAGCTCTGAGGAACCATATTCATTATCTAACTTAGTGCAAACTTAGGCATCAAATAGCAATAAGCAACTAGAAAATGTTAGAAAATGTATTATGAATTATGAATGACTCACAGCAGGATGTACATATGTAGAAATGCTTTGAATAGAGCTTGAACTTCAGGAAAGGACACTCAATCCTGATGTCCTTTGTGATGGCTACTTCCACCGTCACTGCCCAGCACCAAGCATAGCCCGCTCAAGGTAAACAAATTAGCACTAGCACTCTTCTTTGCAGAAAAGGCAGGGAACAGCATGAACCTAAGCTTCAGCTATGATGGAATGGAATCAAATGATGAACATCCAAAATTCCACTTACATTTATCCACACGTAAAGTTTCTAGAGAAGGCCCAGCAAGGTTCCTGACTATTTCTCCCTGGTTTCTCTGAAAAGAGTAGAGCAGGAGAGATATGCACTGCACTAGAAATTTAAACATCTTGGTTGACTTTGCATGTCTGCCACACTCAAGCTGCCTGAATTTCTTTCTTTTTATCCTCCAGACTGAGAATTTGTTTCCCCTTAAAAATAGTTTGGATAAAGTTTTTCTCATCTTTTGTAAAAAACTCTATAATATCAAATGTGATAATGTATGTAAAGCTTCTTTGTAACCTGTGAAGGACTACATATACACAGGGGAATTTGGGTTCACATGTTTAAAGACTTAAAGATTGGAATTAGTGGGTATAAGATACTACAGATTCTAAATATATATATATATATATTTTTTTTTATTACACCAAGATCTTATCTCATATCCTTGGTTGAACAGTCTCTTTCAAAAATTCCATATTGCCAAGATGGCTAGAATCTTAGAGCTTGACAGGAAGCACATGGGACTCCTGGAGATTTGAAATGTTGGTGTATCTTTATAGTAATGGGTGCACAGATTCAGATAAGGCTCTGTAGATAGGTGTAAATGGTATGCAAAATAAATGACATTTACTTAACATGTACCAGTGCTGGGCACTATAACCACACTTATAGCTAATGTTTATTAGGCCCTAATTTGTGTCAGGTACTGTTCTAATTGGTTTATATAATTACCTCTTTTAAGTATCACAGTAATCCTAACAATTAGCACTATAACTATCCCATTTAATATGCAAGAATAGAGAGTCATGGAGAAGTTGAGAAAATTGTCTAAGTTCCTCAGCTAGTATGTCTCAGAGCCTGAATTCCAAGCTAGGCTTTTGTATTTCAAAATTATGCTAAGTAGAGACCCTTTGAAAAAAGCAGACTGCTCCTGCAGGACCCGGGAGACACCCCAAATACTCAACTGCAGCAAGACCACTCAAGGACAGTTTGAGCTCAGACATGCCTAAGCTTGCCCCCACCTGATAGTCCTTCCCTACACACCCTGTTAGCAGAAGACAGTGCATATAATTTTGGAAGTTCTAGGCTCCCGCCCACTGCTGGTTCCTCTTTATACTACCACAGCTGATACTCTCTAGAAAGCCCACCTCCTGGCAGGAGGCCAACCAGCACAAAACTAAACTACCAAAGCTAAGAACCCTCATGGAGTCCATTGCATAGCCCCTTGCCCCCTGCCACCTCCACCGGAACAGGTGCTAGTATCCATGGCTGAGAGACCCTTAAACAGTTCACATCACAGGACTTTGTGCAGACAACCCCCAGTACCAGCCCAGAGCTGGGTAGACTTGCTGGGTTGCTAGACCCAGAAGAGGGACAACCATCACTGCAGTTTGGCTAACAGGAAGCCACATCCATAGGAAAAAGGGGAGAGTACTACATCAAGAGAACACCCTGTGGGACAAAAGAATCTGAACAACAGCTTGCAGCCCAAGATCTTCCCTCTGACAGAGCCTACCCAAATGAGAAGGAACCAGAAAACCAACCCTGGTAATATGACAAAACAACGCTCTTTAACACCTCCCAAAAAAAATCACACTAGTTCACCAGCAATGGATCCAAACCAAGAAGAAATCCCTGATTTGCCTGAAAAAGAATTCAGGAGGTTAGTCATTAAGCTAGTCAGGGAGGCACCAGAGAAAGGTGAAGCCCAATGCGAGGAAAATGATACAAGAAGTGAAGGGAGAAATATTTAAGGAAATAGATAGCATAAAGAAAAAAATAATCAAAAATTCAGGAAACACTGGACACACTTATAAAAATGCAAAATGCTCTAGAAAGTCTCAGTAATAGACTTGAACAAGTAGAAGAAAGAAATTCAGAGCTCAAAAACAAGGTCCTTGAATTAACCCAATCCAACAGAGACAAAGAAAAAAGAATAAGAAAATATGAACCAAGCCTCCAAGAAGTCTGGGATTAAGTTGAAAGACCAAACCTAAAAATAAACAGTGTTCTGGAGGAGAAGAGAATTCTAAAAGCTTGGAAAACATATTTGGCAGAATAATCAGAAAAACTTCCCCAGCCTTGCTAGAGACTTAGACATCCAAATACAAGAAGCACAAAGAACACTTGGGAAATTCATCACAAAAGATCATTGCCTAGGCACACTGTCACCAGGTTATCCAAAGTTAAGACAAAGGAAAGAATCTTAAGAGCTATAAGACACAAGCACCAGGTAACCTATAAAAGAAAACCTATGAAATTAACAGCAGATTTCTCAGCAGAAACACTACAAGCTAGAAGGGATTGGGACCTATCTTCAGCCTCCTCAAACGAAACAATTATCAGCCAAGAATTTTGTATCCAGTGAAACTAAGCACTATATATGAAGGAAAAATAGAGTCTTTTTCAGGCAAACAAGTGCTGAGAGAATTCGCCACTATCAAGCCACCACTACAAGAACTACTCAAAGGAACTCTAAATCTTGAAACAAATCCTGGAAACATTCAAAACAGAACTTCTTTAAAGCATAAATCACAAAGGACTTATAAAACAAAAATACAAGTTAAAAAGCAAAACAAACATCAAAAAAACAAAGTACACAGACAAAAAACAGCATGATGAATGCAATGGTACCTCACATCTCAATACTAACATTGAATGTAAATGGCCTAAATGCTCCACTTAAAAGATATAGAACCACAGAATGGATCAGAACACACCAACCAACTATCTACTGCCTTCAGGAGACTCATCTAACACATAAGGACTCAGGTAAACTTAAGTAAAGAGATGAAAAAAGACATTTCATGCAAATGGACACCAAAAGAGAGCAGGGGTAGCTATTCTTATATCAGTCACAACTAATTTTAAAGCAACAGCTGTTAAAAGAGACAACGAGGGACATTATAAAATAGTAGAAGGCCTTGTCCAACAGGAAAATATCACAATCCTAAACATATATGCACCTCACACTGGAGCTCCCAAATTTATAAAACAATTACTAATAGACCTAAGAAATGAGATAGACAGCAACACAATAATAGTGGGAGACTTCAATACTCCACTCACAGCATTAGACAGGCCATCAAGACAGAACGTTAACAAAGAAACAATGGATTTAAACTATACCTTGGAACAAATAGACCTAACAGATATATACAAAACATTTCATCCAACAACCACAGAATACAAATTTTATTCAATAGCACATGGAACTTTCTCGAAGATAGACCACATGATAGGCCATAAAATGAACCTCAATTTTATTTATCTTTTCAAAGAAACTGCTTTTTGTTTCATTTATCTTTTGTATTTTTTGTTTGTTTGTTTCAATTTGATTTAGTTCTTCTCCAGTCTTGGTTATTTCCTTTCTTCTGCTTGGTTTGTGTTTGCTTTGTTCTTATTTTCTAGTTCCTTGAGGTGTGACCTTAAAATGTCAGCTTGTGCTCTTCCAGTCTTTTTGATGTAGGTGTTTAGGGCTATGCACTTTCCTCTTAGCACTGCCTTTGCTCTATCCCAGAGGTTTTGATAGGTTGTGTCATTATTGTCATTCAGTTTGAAGAATTATTAAATTTCCATCTTGATTTCATTTTTGACCCAATGCTCATTCAGGAGCAGGTTATTTAATTTCCATGTATTTGCATGGTTTTGAAGCTTTCTTTTGGAGTTGATTTCCAGTTTTATTCCACTGTGTCCTGAGAGAGTGCTTGATATAATTTCAGTTTTGTCTTCTGCTAACAGGGCGTGTAGGGAAGGAATTGATAGACCATTAACGAGACTAACCAAGAAAAGAGAGACAATCCAGATAACCTCACTAAGAAGAGAAACAGGAGATATTACAACTGACACCACTGAAATACAAAAGATCATGCAAGGCTACTATGAACACCTTTACACACATAAACCAGAAAACCTAGAAAAGATGGATACATTCCTGGAAAAATATAACCCTTCTAGCTTAAATCAGGAAGAATTAAATACCCTAAACAGACCCATAACAAGCAGCAAGACTGAAATGGTAATTTGAAAATTACCAACAAAGAAATTCCAGGACCAAATGGATTCACAGCAGAATTCTACCAGACATTCAAAGAAAAATTGGTACCAATCCTTTGACACTATTCCGCAAGATAAAAAGGAATCCTCCCTAATTAATTCTATGAAGCCGGCATCACCCTAATACCAAAACCAGGAAAGGGCATAACCAAAAAAGAAAACTACAGACTGATATCCTTGATGAACATAGATGCTAAAATCCTTAACAAAGTACTAGCTAACCGAATCCAACAACATATCAAAAAGATAATCCACAATGATCAACTGGGTTTCATGTCAGGGATGCCAGGGATGGTTTAACATACGCAAGTCAATAAATGTGATACACCACATAAACATAATTAAAAACAAAAATCACATGATCATCTCAGTAGATGCAGAAAAAGCACTCAACAAAATCCAACATCCCTTTATGATTAAAACTCTCAGCAAAATATTGACATACAAAGGACATTCCTCAATGTAATAAAAGCCATCTATGACAAACCCACAGCCAACATAATACTGAATGGGGAAAAGTTGAAAGCATTCCCTCTGAGAACTGGAACAAGACAAGGATGACTACTCTCACCCCTCCTGTTCAACATAGTACTGGAAGTCCTAGCCAGAACAATCAGACAAGAGAAAGAAATACAGGGCATCCAAACCGGTAAAGAAGAAGTCAAAGTGTCACTGTTTGCTGATGACATGATCATTTACCTTGAAAACCTTAAAGACTCCTCCAGAAAGCTCCTAGAAGTGATAAAAGAATTCAGCAAAGTGTCTGGATACAAGATTAATGTACACAAATCAGTAGCTCTTCTATACACCAACAATGACTAAGCAGAGAATCAAATCAAGAACTCAACCCCTTTTACAATAGCTGCAAAAAAAAAAAGAAAAAGAAAAAAAAAGAAAAAAACCACCTTAGGAATACACCTAGCCCAGGAGTTAAAAGACCTCTACAAGGAAAACTACAAAACACTGCTGAAATAAATCACAGATGATACAAACAAATGGAAACCCATCCCATGCTCATGGATGGATAGACTAACTATTGTGGAAATTATCATACTGCCAAAAGGAATCTACACATTCAATACAATCCACATCAAAATATCAAAATCATTCTTCACAGAATTATAAAAAACAATTCTAAACTCATATGGAACCAAAAAAGAGCCCGCATAGCCAAAGCAAGACTAAGCAAAAAGAACAAATCTGGAGGCATCACACTACCTGATTTCAAACTATACTATAAGGCCATAGTCACCAAAACAGTGTGGTACTGGTATAAAAATAGGCACATAGACCAATGGAACACAGTAGAGAGCCCAGAAATAAACCCAAATACTTACAGCCAACTGATCTTCGACAAAGTGAGCAAAAACATAAAGTGAGGAAAGAACACCCTTTTCAACAAATGGTGCTGGGTTAATTGCCTAGCCACCTGTGCACATGTACCCTATAACTTAAAGTATAATAAAAAAATAAATTAACTTAAAAAAAGAAGTCATTATCCAAAAAAGAAACTTGCACACACGTTTCTAGCAGCACAATTCAAAATTGCAAAATCGTGGAACCAACCTAAATGCCCGTCAATCAACAAGTGGATAAAGAAACTGTGATATATATGATGGAATACTACTCAGCCATAAAAAGGAATTAATTAAGAACATTTGCAGTGACCTGGTTGAGATTGGAGACTATTATTCTAAGTGAAGTATTTCAGGAATGGAAAATCAAACACTGTATGTTCTAATTTGCGGGAGCTAAGCTATGAGGACACAAAGACATAAGAATTATACGATGGACTTGGGGGACTTGGGGGAAAGAGAGGGAGGGTGGCAAGGGATAAAAGACTATAAATAGAGTGCAGTGTATACTGCTCGGGTTATGGGTGCACCAAAATCTCACGAATCACCCCTAAAGAACTTACTCATGTAACCAAATACCTCCTATACCCCAATAACTTATGAAAAAAAAAAGAAATTATGCTAAGTATTTTTCTGTTCACAAGATACCAACAACACAGTGCAGAAGACCTGCTGAGTTAGGAGTGGATAAAATGCTCTGAGAAATGGCAGCTGCTGAGCATAATCATCTTCTCTTCTAAACCTTAAAGGTAGGTAGTTACAGCCAAGAGAAAGTAATTCTTGGAGAAGTACCTGGGCTTTCCTAAGAAGAAGGAAAGACTGGTGGTAACACAGTAAATGGATATGTCAGCACCATCCAACAACATTAAAGTCAATAAAATAGAACAGAGGTCCTTCTCCCCTGGGAACTACGAATGGCTAAGGTAAATGATCTTAAAGAGAAAAATAAATCATCTCAGCACAGTCTTTACAATGGAATGGCAACATACATAATAGTGTATACTCCATGGTTCTGAATAAATGTTATACAGAGATTACCATTTTAAAACAAACATGATAAATATCTTAAAAGAGATAAGGTAGGATATACTGATGATATTAATCAATAATAAGCAATAATCAAAAAGAAACAAGTAGATTTATTGAATATATAATACACAAAATATGTTACAGGATGAATAATTATCAGAATTGATGAATAGAAAGGTGGTATTCAATAACTTATTTTGAAAACATCAGAAAAGTATGACATAATGGCAAATGTAACAAACAAGTTTTTAAATATGGAATATAGAGACACAACTGTCACCAACCAATCATAACAGTACCAGAAAGAAGTAAAACAAATAAATTAAGAGGTAGAAATAGATAAAACTAGAATCAGAAGAAAGTTCTCAGAATTTAAAATATGAACACCTAAGTTGAAGAGACCTTAAAAAGTACAAAATTGTATAAAGAAAAATGCACACATATGTGTATTATAGGAAAATTTGAGACAATATCCTAACTGCTTTCAGAGAATGCAGTTATTTTTAAGTGAAAAACATTCAGATTGATACAAAACTTTTCAATACCAACAGAAAAAACAAGGCGACAGAATATTAACATTTTCAAAGTGTTGAAGGAAAATAACTTCAATCCTACAGCAAGGAATTTTTTTTTTAATTTTAGGATGCAGATGATGGCAACGATAATAAAACCCTTCTTTAAAAACCCTAAAAGAAATCCTAGAGGATGCTCCATGAAATCTGAAAAATAAGGGTAACCAAATACCCCAGTAAAGTGTGTTGTTGTCTAAAACATGAATAACATAATGAAGACTTTGAGAATTTATACCTGAGTGGTGGTGATGATGAAAACAGATGGGAGTTTGCTATCCATCTGAGGACATCCACCCTAACTCCCCATTATCTCAACCTTTTATGGCTAGTGAATTACGTCTGAAACAACTTCCTTCTCCTAATGGTGCTTTCCTCTAATGATTTAAAGGCACTACCTATTCAGAAGAGTTGACTGGTTGTATAGGAGCCAAGAAGAGTACTCAACAGAGGGTGGGTGCTGTACTGGTTTTCTATTGCTGTATAACGAATTGCTGCAAACTTAGAGGTGTAAAACAGCACATATTCATTATTTCACAGTATCTGCATGTCATGAAGTGCAGGCACACTTTAAATAGGTCCTCTGCCCTAGAGTTTCATCAGGTAGCAATCCAGGTTTGACTGGGCCTGCAGTCTCATCAGAGGTTTGACTGGGAAAAGGTACACTTCCAATCTCCATCAGGTTGTTGGAAGAAGTCATCCTGAAGCTACAGGACTGAGGTCCCGATTTTCTTGCTGGCTTTCATCCAGGGCTCATCTCCATTCTGCAGGCCACTTGCAGTTTCCTATCACGTGGCCTTCTCCGTAGGCAATTCACAACATGACTACTTGTTCCATCGAGACAAGCAGGAGAATCTATCTCTCTAGTCTGCTAAGACAGGGTAATATATAACAAAATGTAATCATGAGGTAAGGGGTATCATTCCATCAATGTTTTCTATGGTGTATTGGTTAAAAGCAAGTCATAGGTTCTGCTTGCACTGGAAGGGAGGATATTTATAAGGACATGACTTATTGGGGGTCATCTAAGGTATGTCCACGACAAATGCTAGAGTTTTCCAATTTGAGGCTTATTGCCTCCCTTTAGATGTCCAACATGGCCTCGAATTTGGGCCTGGCTATTGCCATAAAAGGTAACTATTAGGAAAATGAAGTAGCATGCCAAATTTTTACACATCTGAAGAATATTATTATACATAAATACTACAAACTAAACAGCATATGGTATATAAAACAGACTTATTGGAACAGATGGCCTAAGAATAGAAAATAAGCACAATAAATACTCTCAAAGATAGGAGAGAGGGTATTAATATAAAGCAAAAGCAATGAATCATAAAAAGTTGGAAATACTAAGAATGCAGAATATGGTAGCTGAAATATTTTAAATGGCCTAAATAGATGAGTATAACGAAAGAGTGAATGAGCAAGCTCAAAGATCAGATTGAGGAACTCTCAGAATACAAAACAGGATAAAGAAGATGCAAGAGAAAAGTTAAGCAATACATACAGAAGATAGATGTAGAAGTCCCAACCTCTGTAAGAGTTTCTGAAGAACAAAAAGTAATAAACACAGGAAAGGAAATATTTGCAAAAGCTAATGAGGATAAAATTCCTAAAATTAAAACAAGATGTGAGACTTCAGACTGAAAGGGCCCAGAAAGGTCTAATTAGGATAAGTAAGAAAATATCCCTACCTAAACACTTTAGAAGTAGCAAACACAGAGACATCTCCAGAAAAAAATTCTGGTTTTCTATAATGAAACTGAATGAGATCAATCTCAGGTTTCAGAATTATTATTTCGTTAGCTAAATGGCAATAGGGAGGTAAGTAAAAATATTCTCAAGCATGTCAGCCTCGGAAGATTTAGGGATACAAAAATCCACTTGGAAAAATACTCTAGGGAGAGGCATTCAAATAAGAAAACTACAACCAGGTAGATACGGCAACCTGTATAAGAAGTAAGGATAATTTAGTATTTTAGCAAAGACCATAGTTGTGCCTTGAAACTAGGATGAGAGAAGAACAGTAGTCTATATTGTGATATAAACCTAGAACTAATATTCAGTAGAGATGAAGTAGGTGGAAAGGCCAAAAGGATTTGAGAGTCTGATACCTTTTCTGACTGGTTATGGAAGAGATATAGATAAAATATTTAAGAGATCAACATAGACATAAATATGAGAAGTGTTCTTTGCATAAAGATAGTGTAAAAACAAAAGTAGAATATATAATTTTAAAACCATCAGAAGAAAACCTTTCATGGCCAACGCAAAAAGGGAAAGAGAAAAAAATTTAAAAAAAAGAAAGACATTAAAGGAAAAATGTAAAATAAAGGAACAGAAACAAATTCTAATATAATAATATTAATCTATAATATTATTGGATTAAATTCACAAATGAAAAGACCATAACTCAGACTGAAATTAAAAAGAAACATGCAAAAATATATTATCTGTAATGATTTGAAAATAAGAACTGAAAATAAAAGATGGAAAAAATATGTCATGTAAACATAACCAAAAGACATCTGAAGGAGTGTTATTAATATCTAGCAAAATATAATTTGAGACAAAAATATTACAAAATATCAAAGAGGTTCATCATAATGGTAAGAAGTACAATTGGTCAAGAAAATAAATTATAAATAGTTATGACTATAATAATACAGTTTCAAAATACATAAAGCCAAACCAAAGAAAAATATAGAGACCCTGTGAATTCTTGCTAGAGATTTTATCATACTATTCTCAGAAATTGATAGACCCAGGAGGCGTAATGAACAGATATATAAAAAACATAGATAATATCATATAGAGATCAAATTAATCTATGAGACAAGTCTAGAGCTTTGCACCCAAGAAACAATACATATTCGAGTACACGTGACATTTAGAAAATTGACCATGCAATACTGAAAGAAAGCCACAAAAATTATTAAAATAAATAAGTAGAAAGGAAGAGAGAAATGGAGAAAAAGATATAACAAAATTTTAAAAAAGAAAGCAACCCCATGCATACTATTTCCTATGACCCCCTCAAAAACAGAAATTAATAACAACAGATAGCATTAAAAATTCCATGTGTCTGCAAACAAAATATCATGCTGGTAAACTAGTAAATAACCCTATGTTCATAAAGCATATCATGAAAAATTAGAACTGAATGGTAATAAATAAATTTGAAAATTTGTAAGACCCAACTTATGCACTAAATTTAACTGTAGTTGTCAGTAAATACATGTTTTAAATGAGCTAAGATGACAACATAATTAGTTAGAAAACAATCAACAGAGTAAAATCAAATCAGAAAAAAAAAAGGAATCTAAGGGCACATTTCAATGAAACAGTGCATTAAGAAAAATAATAAAGTTAATACCCGATACTGATATTTGGAAAACACTAATATTGTACACTTCTGATATGATAATTCAAGAAAAAAAGGATGCATATTTTAAAAATATATATTGAAAAGGACAAAATTGCTAATGACAAAAACAGATTAAAATACATTTAATAGATTAATAAATTAGTAAAAAAAAGTAGATGAAATACATTTCCAAAATAAATGACATTAGAAAAAATGGAAACATTAACCTGATAATAGACATTTAGAAATATAAAATAGTAGGTAAAATCCATCCTCCTCAAAGCTGCAGGTCCAAGTGTTTTTATAGGCAAACTCCACTGAATTTCTATGAAGGAGTTAATTCCTATTCTATGCAAATTGTTACAAAAATAGAAAGTCTTTAAATTAAGCTACAAATAAAAATGGTTTCTATTAAAATTTCTGGGTTGAATTTTGGAGAAACTTGTCAAACTCATTTTAAAAATGTTTGTGCCAGAATTTAGGCCCATGAACAGCTATTACAATTTTATCAAATAAAAATAAAAAGAGAATGCTAACTCCATCAGTTATGAAGACTTATTATAAGGCCGTAGTAATTTAAAAGGCTGATATTGGCACAGCAACAAAGGAACCAATGTATGAAAATAGCTCAGAAATAGCATGCTTAATTGACAAATAATGAAACTGAAAGCAGCATATTGTTTAGAATGGTATAATGGAAACAAACTTACAATAAGGAGAAAAATCATGTACCCTAATTATCATCATATATAATGGTGGGTCCAGATTAAATATACAATGTGATGAAAAAGCATCTAAGATGTAACAGAAAAAAAAATAATTGTAATACTCAGGAGTGGAGAGATAGGTATTTGACAATATGCCAAAAGCATATACAATATAGAGATATTAATAGATATGGTTACATAGAAATTAAGAACTCTGTTCATTAAAAGACATTGTTGGCACAATTAAGACAGTGAAACATGATAGCAGGGAGAAGATAAGTATCACGTTTAAAAGTTTTAAGACAATATCTAGTATATAAGGTCAGAAGCCCCAACAGAAATGTGAGCAAAGATATTCACAGGTAATAGATGAAGAGGACAAAATGACTAATAAGTATAAGAAGAAACTGTCAAACTCACCAGTATACAAAGAAATGGACATGAAAATAATAAAACACAATTTTATATCTATAAGGCAAAAAAAATCAATATCACATATTGGGAAAGATGTACCCACTTGTTTACTGCAAGTGGGAATGCAATATCCAAAAGCCATTCAGGTCTCTTGGCAGTAGCACTAGTATCTAACGAGGGCACAATCCCAGATGAAAGACACGTACCCACCAGCAGAAACACAGTAAGTACACAGTTCTCAAAATAGGTGGTGGATGATCTGGGCTGGCATTCAGTGTGTGCTTTAATTTAAATTTAGCAAATGAGAGAGAGAGAAAGCGAAAAGACACTAGTCCCACTTCCTGCAGAAGAGGGGTTAGGACAGGCCCCATCTAGTCCCCCAGTGATTCTCCAAGAGGCCCAGGCCTGGGCAGGCCTTCAGAGGCCCAGAACATCTTGAGGACCACAGAACCTGTCCACCTGAGAGTCCCCATGCTCTAATGCTGCCCAGTGATGTCCAGTGGTGAAGTGACTTATTCCCTTCATGTTTATTTCCTAAGGGGAGAGTAAACCCTGCATGTGGTAGGTTCTCCCTTCCTAAGCTACAAACAGTTGGTTCAAGGTAATCCACATACATCTTGTAACTGGGTATAATAAATCAACATTAGTAATCTCTTGCTACAAATTAATTTCGGATTAAACACAATATCATAATTATGATCTCTTAGCAATTATCAATTCTTTATCTGGCTAAGTGCTAACATATCATAGTCATTAGTTAAACCTGATTCTTCCAAGCATCTCAGCAAGTACCTTAGTATTTAATGCTTCAACTCAGTAATAATCAGCTGGCAGTTTCTCCATGTGTATCAGCCTGGCCTGCTGACCTTCACACTGATATTCAGCCTTTTTGCCACATATCCATGACACTTTGTGATTAGTGTTACCAAATTAAATACCAGAGCACAGAGTTTAATTTGAATTTCAGATAAATAACAATTTTTTAAACTATGACTGTGTGCCAAATATTGCATGGATATACTTATAAGAAACCTAGCAGGCCTACTTGTAATTCTGTATTAAATTGACCTTAAATACCATGGCCATTAATACTTGGTACTTTTTTCTTTGTACTCACTTTTGCCAGAATTGAGTTTCCTCCTTCTGGCAATTGTTCATTGCCCGCAGACTTAAATCTGCTGCCAAGACAAAGGAAAGAAATGTGCATTTTTTTCCTTGATTCTAATGAAATAGGTATTTTCTCCAATTTACAGAGGATAAAACTGAAGATAACATTAATTCAAAACAACACTTGACATCCTAGTCTAACAAGTGGACTCAATCCTACAATCCAATGTAGTCTGAGTCCAAAGCCATTTTCTCTACACTGAATCACCCTGGGATATGTGAGCAGGGCAAAATTTTTGCACAGATGGAGGAGTCTTGACTGAGGCAAGGCATGTGGTCAAAGAATTTAAGATAATTATCTTGGTAATGGTGGTGCCTGTACTTCTGTAAGCTGCATAGTTGAGCTTACCCTTCTGCTTCTGATAGGTGATCTCTTGGGAATCCAACAGGAAATAATAGCGAGTTTTGACGGAGAAGAGCAGAGAGAAGAGAAATCCAAAGCAATACCTTGAAACCCCATTAACTTTTCCCACATCCAGAGACCCAGAATATGTCATTTTACATCACCATGTATAGAACAAACAAAGCTTAAATTCTATGTCAGAAGATGCATTAACAAAACCCAGTGCCCTTTCCCCCCTACCCTCCTTTAAGGAGAAGATACATGGCTTCTATCCTTAGGAAAATCACCTCAATTATATGAGCTAATTATTTGTGTTCTTTCTTTTTCTCCCCTCCCCGCCCCGCCTTCCCGCCTTAATTATGGCCACCTTTAAGAGAATCCCATTGCTTTTTTAAAAAACAGATGATTGAGCCACCTATTAGAATGTAAAAGAACGTGCTAATTGGAGTTCACATCAAATAATAGAGCACAGTTTAAATTTATACATATAAAACACATTATCTTCACCCTTACATTCCTAACATCACAGGCTCAAAACAGCAAAATGACCCACAGTCACCTTGAATGGGTCGACCGTTACAACATGACAATGAGTGCTTTTTTTGTTGTTTTGTTTTTAGTCTCTTTCAACCAGAAGAAACTGCTCTTAACTGTGAGATTATGCAGCTCTGTTTGGAAAGCTTTTGTGAGTCCCTATAGTGTAATGATTTTCCTTTAGAGAGCATGTAATTTTAGATTCTTGCATAACAGCACAGATTTTTATGGTATTACTAAACTTTGTAATTTTATTTCCCTCTGACAATTAAGTGCACATTGATGTTACGGAATTTTTTCTTCCTTCCATCACAGTTGGATGAAATTGGAAAGGCAGACTACGGTGTGTTGGGAGTGCTCATGTCTAGAAGTGTAAACGTTTTGTGATTCCCTTGTTGAAGATCCATTTCACACATAGGCAAATCCATCACATTGCTACAGTTTACTTTCAGTTGCAAACAAGCTGTAACCTAAAATACACAATGCACCAACGAAAAACAATCAATATGTCGTTTATGCACTCCCTTTGTTTAGGAAATAGTTTAACAGTTTACAGTACATTAGCTCAGATGTTTAAACTAACCTTTTTGCAGAAAGTGAGCATCTTCCAAATAAATACATTTTTCTCCTAGAATTTGTCGTTTCTTATCACCAGCCACATCTCTTTCATGTCTATTGCACTCAGACCTGGGCAATAGCACCTATATTTTATCAAGACCCTTCACTGTTTCGCTTTGCTATGTAAATGAGACACATCATTTTTTTCTAGTCCAGGCAGCTGGCAGACAAATTTATTTGCCTGTAAACTAAGCAATACAATTTGAACATGCATGATTCACCCTGTCCCTTGGAGGCAAGGTGAAGGCTTCTCTACCACAAGCATAAGTGTTCAGTGACCAATAGGTGTATGACAATCAGCCCTTGAGTCCCTCTAAATTGAATTTTGTAATTTATCCAAGAATCTCTAAGAATGGTAATGCTGTCTTTTAATCTTCATCTGTTGGCTTTAATCCATTCCCTGATGATTAGAGTTCGGCAGACTTGCTAGGGCTTAGTGTTTCTTCTCCTAGGAAGGCTTATTTGATCAATAGTATGATCCCAAGACAGGGTGGATAGAAACTCTGAAATCCAGTCTAGCTCAGCCTCTACTCTGAGGTCAGGTGCAACCATTTCCCACTGGAAATCACTTCCCATAGTCAGCAGATTTCATGTTCTTATACTCTATCACTTAGATTTGAGAAATTGAAACCCTACATAAACATTTATGATCTTCATTCCATGAAGTAACCCTACCCTAAAGTCTACCCACTATATATGGTATGGTATTAGGACAAGCTCTTGCTCCTTCCATGATATATGAATATATCCCATTAAAGACTAAATGTTTGTTTCCTCCCAAAATCCTTACGTTGAAGTCTTAACCCCTAATGTGACTATATTTGGAGATTGGGACTCAAAAGAACTAATTAAGGTTAAATGAGATCATAAAGATGGGGCCCTGATTGCATAGAATTGATGCCTTTATAAGAATGTGCATCAGAGAGCTCATACTCTTTCTCTCTCTGTATGCAGGCACCAGTGAAAGGTCACAAGAGGACATAGCTAGAAGGCAGCCAGCCATCTGCAGGCCAGGAAGAGACCAACCAGAAAACAACCAGACCGGCACCTTGATTTCAGAGTTCAGATTCCAGAACTGTGAGGAAATAAATTTCTGTTGTTTAGGCCATCTAGTGTGTGGTATTTTGTTATGGTAGCCCAAACAAGCTAATGCAGACTAATAAGAATAAGATGTTGTAGTAACCATCTCAATCTTTTTGTAGTTTTTCCAAAAAAGTCACAGATGAGTCTGGACTCCTTTTCCACACAGAAAACACCATCTCCAAAATTATGCAATTGAGAAATGAAGATGTGTAGACGTGTGGTCTTGGATTTAGCTTCAGGGAAATGCTCATGGTTATATTTGCTTTAAAATTTGAAGATTGTTTCTATGAACTCTTCTGAATAAACACAAAATGGCCAAAAAGGAAATAAAAAGAAACTTTCCCCAATCAGTGGTCTTTCCACTTTGTCCAGTGGCAATATCACATACCTCAGAGATTTTGCCAGGGTAAGATTATGGTGCTAGCCCATCTGTCCTTGATTCTGTAAATACTCACTTTTAACGTGGGTTAAAACCACCAATTCTCCATTGATTTTTTTTCTAAATTCATGGATTTTTTTTTCCAAATTTATGGAGCTCAGTTTTTAGGCTGATTAGACTGCAGAATTTAGTGGCTATGCTTGCCTAAGAAGAGTGAACACATAGAATAGAGCATAAAATGGAACAGGACCGCAGCCACTGTCACATGATGCTAGCCTTTCTGTGGTCACTTTGCCCACAGCTTCTCAAGAAATTCTCCAGCAAAACTGACCCATGTCATTTGCAATGGTTGCTTAATAAAAAATTCCATTCAGTCCAAGGAAGTAACAGAATACTTTGCCTAACATACTAATAATGACTCACAATACATAGGTCATGTCTTTTTTAAGTGTGTGTGTGTGTTTCAATGAAATGAGAAGACTTTCATTGAAATAGTGATTTTTTTTTTTTTTTTTTTGAGTCAGAGTCTCGCTTTGTCACCCAGGCTGGAGTATAGTGGGGTGATCTTGGCTCACTGCAACCTCTGCCTCCCAGGTTCAAGCAATTCTCTTGCCTCAGCCTCCTGAGTAGTGGGATTACAGGCACACGCCACCACGCCTGACTAATTTTCGTATTTTTAGTAGAGACGAGGTTTCACAGTGTTGCTCAGGCTTGTCTCGAACTCCTGACCTCATGATCTGCCTGCCTAGGCCTCCCAAAGTGCTGGGATTACAGGTGTGAGCCACCACACCCAGCCTGAAAGAAACATCCTGTATGCTGAAAACTGTGGAGACTCAAAGATCAAAAATGGACAAAGATCAGAAGTCCACACTTCAGGAGCTCAGTTGGCATTAGATTTCTTCTTTCTCATGGCATGACTGTTTCCAAGTGGCTCACCTTAACCTTCACTCCTTTTGTCTTCCCAAATTCAGAACTTTCATCTAAACCTCTGGGATATCCCCTAAACCATATATGTTTTATTAGGAGTTAAATAAATTTGGAGGAGAGAACAAGCTTAACATCCTCTTGGCCTGTGACACGTGATTAGCAGATTTATCCAATAAGACCTCAGTGATCCTGATTCTCAGGCCACAGCTGTTTGCACTATGACTTGCATTTCCTCCACTTTGTGACTGAGTATTGTGATGAATGCCTCTCTCCCCACTTACCTGGCCCAAATCACTTCGGTCTCTACATCCTTCCCTGGGACTAGGTAGTCAGACTAGGCATGTACTTCTCTGTCTCAAACTCCATCTTCCATTCTTGGTGTGACTGCAACTTCCAATTGGAAAGAGCTGAGAGGGCAGCTTGTGTACAAGCTGGCCGAATTTAAAGCAGGATTTATGAATCTTGAGTGAGATTTTCACGCTGTCTATATCACCGTGAAATTATCTGCTGATTCCATTTAGTAAACAAGGCAGCAGGTTGAAGCCGGCTGTTCCCAGCCCAGCAGAGAGACTGTGTGGTAGCAATGCTGATGTGTCAGTGCAGAGACAATGGGACTGCTGTTGGGGAGGTGGGCTTGTCCACCCCAGCATCGCTCTTCTAGTGCCCGAGTAGGAGGCAGTTGAAGAAAAGCAAAGGCATGTTTGCACACTGTCTCTCCACTCATTACTTATGCACAGCATATATTATTCAAAATAAGCAATTATCTCAAAGAAAACAAAGCTATTTGCATTTCCCAGGAGAGAATTTGCCCTCTGAGGGAGTTGGTGTCAGGCAGAGAGCAAGAAACCACTGACTGGAGCAGAAATAGTATCATTTTCTCTCTGCAGGACAAAATCCAAACACTTCAGCCTGGCATGCCCAGCCTGTCGCATGGTGGTCCTTCCCGGCCTGATTTTGTTTACTTTCCACAAATGCACAACACGTTCCTTGCTCTTGAGCTGAACTTACTTCTTATTCAAAATAAAGACCAATGTTGTAAGCATCAGTATTTAAGAAAATCCGAGTAAAACAACCTTAAATTTGTTTTAAAAAATCCTATTGTTAATTCAATCTGTTTTTCTGTAAATTATAAAAGACCTCTGTTTTTCAGTTGTTTTGGTGAAATATCTTAGTGAGACATTATGATATGGAAATGACTCTTCTGCATCCTTCCCTAAGTACCCTACCTACAATGAGTTTTCCTGAATTTCTAAAGCAGTGGTTTTCAAATTTTCAAAGCAGTCAAAATCTCCTGGAGGGCTGGTAAAAACAGATTGGGCCCAGTGGCTCACGCCTGTAATCCTAGCACTGTGAGAGTCCAAAGCACACAGATCATGAGGTTAGGAGATCGAGACCATCCTGGCCAACATGGTAAAACCCCATCTCTACTAAAATAAAATATAAAAAAAAAATTAGCCAGGCGTGGTGGTGTGCACCTGTAGTCTCAGCTACTTGGGAGGCTGAGGCATGGGAATTGCTTGAACCCGGGAGGCAGAGATAGCAGTGAGCTGAGATCACGCCACTGAACTCCAGCCTGGCAACAGAGCGAGACTCCATCTCAAACAAACAAACAAACAAAGAACAGATTGCTGGGTTCCAGTCCTAGAATCCTAGAATCTGTTAGATGGAGACTGAGAATTTGTATTTCTGAAACACTCTCAGTAGTCCAGGCATCATCTTTTAAAATCATTGTTCTAAAGTTATGCTGTCCAACAAGGTAGCCACCAGCCACACATTGCTGCTGAATACCAGAAATGTGGCTGGTCTGAATTAAGATGTGCCATAAGTGTCAAATATATACTGCATTTCTAAGACTTTGCACAAAACTAAATGCAATATACCATTTTAATAATTTTGATATGGTTACTTGTTGAAATAACATTTCTGACATTTTGAGTTTAGAATATATTGTTAAAATTAATCTCAGCTGTTTCTTTTTACTTTTTAATATGGCTATTAGAAACTTTAGAATTACATATATGGCTCATATTTCTACCACATAAGCACTGATAAAGAGGATCACACACAGGCTAAGGGTGGAATATCAGCAATATAAAATTGAGGAGCAGAAATAGATTTGAAGTGTGAAATTAAATCTGATTACCTAAGTATTTATTGACTATTCCAAAATTCTAGGGAAACATATCTCAGAATCATGGCAGTGGGTAAGAACTGGGGAGAAGCTGATATAAAACAATTCAGAGGAAAGTGGGAATCAAGGAGACAAAACCCTGATAAACTTAATTCAGGCCAACAACATTTGGTAGAATCCAGTGTCTTGTAGAGAGTCAAAACCTGGTTTTCTGTTTGTCCAGTCTTACAGATGCTACCAGCATATGAGATAGAGCTCTAATTATACACTGAATTCTACTTTTATGTATACAATTTGTTTCATCAGGGAGATTGCCAACTTTTCAAGGGCAAGAACTAAATCTGTATTTTACATGATTTGGGGCACCTAGCATTGCATTAATCTATATTATATGAATAAGTATAATAAATGAATAAATTTATTTTAAATATTTTATACTCCCTTAAACCAAGGACAAAATCATGCCTAGATTTTGTGGGAATAACATCATAAGCAGTGCAACATTTTTTAAAGTGTTGTTGAACAAATTTTATGAGTAATCTTTAGCTCTAATAGTTTAGAGAGATGTGTATGCAATCTATCGTTGGATATTCACCTCAACAAAAAACTAATGCTTTAGAGACACTAAGGCCAGGCTTGGTGGCCCACACTTGAAGCCTAGCACTTTGGGAGGTGGGTGGATTGCTTGAGCCTAGGAGTTCAAGACCAGCCTGGGTAATATGGCAAAACCCAGCGAAACTCTTTCTCCACGGAAAAAAAAAAAAAAAAAAAAAAAAAATTGCCAGGTGTGGAGGCTGAGGTGGGAGGATCACCTGAGCCTGGGGAGGTCAAGGCTTCAGTGAACCATGATTGTGCCACTGCACTCCAGCCTGGGTGACAGAGTAAGACTCCATCTCAAAAAAAAAAAAAAAAAAAAAGCAGACACTGAGAAATCTGTGAAACATTATCTTATTGAACACTTTATAGGGATATGGCCCTAATTTTCCTTATAATTCTGCCACTAGACATTCTCACTTGAGGTCCCACTTCTTCATACTATTGCACTGGGGATTAAGTTTCAATATGAATTTTGCAGGGGACACAAACATTTAAACTACAGCAACCAGTAACTGACAGACCCAAGAGGCAGTTTGGCCAGTACAGCAAGAAGATTGACAGAAGAAGGAGTGGAAGGGAGCAAAGCTCTGTTCAAGGACTGTGTTTCCAGCAACTGCCTTTGTAACTGTCCTTAAAGGTGCTTGAAAATGACTCGAATAACATGTTTTTTTTGTTGTTGTTGTAAAGCCTATACAGTTACCTTTGTAGAAAAATAATTCAGCTCCTTTTATTACAGCACAGTCTAAAATGATTCTGAAGGCAAATATTTAAAGTAAAAATATGATGTTTGCTGTAGCCCTAAATCATAAATAACAATTGTTCCCTCTTCTAAATTGATTTAGGAATCTCTATGATAAGGTTTTTACTCTAGCTGAACTTTACCCCCAAATTCCCGTTTGCCCTATAGATAGAGGAGGACTGAATTATTATTTTTGTTTGTTTGTTTTGAGCACTCTGTAGGGTTTTATGGCTTGGCTATGTGTAGGCATACAATGCAGCTGCACTCCTTTGGGAAGAACTCTGTAAGTAAAAGGCACTGTTGGTATTTTTTTTTGTTTTGTTTTATTATTCTGCATTGTTATTCCCCGAGCCTAAGCATGGAGTTTTCTCTGCTGATGCAGAACCAGAATGTACTGTTCCCACAAAGTCATTTAACAAAGATATGCTTCAGTAGGAGGGTCAAGATACAACCCCTACCATATTCTTGAGTTGGAGAATCCAGCTCAGGATAAATCACTCTCTTTTAATTTCATAAATATTAATTCCATCAGGAGGAATTTATCCAAGTCAAAGTATGTTACTCCTGTAAGTGACAGGGCAGGGTTAGCTGCCTCAAATCCCGAGGGTCCTACCCCATCAAGGGATAGTGTTACATCTCATTGATGTAATTTTTTTTTTCTTTCTTGGATGTACAGTGAGTAGCTATGAGGAACCTATTCACTTAACATAATATTAGCATTCATTAAGATTTTTTTTTTGCTGTGTGTGACTAAAGCACCATTGAACAAATGTAGTTCCTGAAATGAGATGTGACTATGCCAGCCCCAAGAAAAATCCTAGGCATGGAAATGGAGGGGGAAAACTGTCAAGTCGACATGGAAAATCTCTCTCATTACTTTACTATAAGAATCGTAATTAGTCCCAAAGGTTTTACTCGCTCATTTTAAAGCAAAATCAGGTAGATCAGACATGGAAATGTATGTCAATCAATCTCTGCTAGAGTCAGTCAGCTGTGGCCACCCTACTCACACATGGCTTGACCCCCTATGTTTGCAGTTGTAAGTTGGTTAGGATTTTGCTCAATTCTAAGTTGTAAATATGTAAGTGGAATTGTGCCGATAAATGAGCTTTTCTAATTGAGTTCATCCTTGTAAATTAATAAAAATTCCTGCCAATCAAACAAGTGCATGTTTGCAGGAATATTATCAGTAGGTAATGGAGATAATTAATACTTCATGACATCAAGGTCTGAAATTAAAATCAAATCTGAGACTTAACTGCAATTATTAAATCTGAGGAAAATTATCTTTCAGATGACAAGTGTCACAACCTTCAGCACCTGAATTAATAACAGGGAACAAGCCTCCAAAAACACAGTGCACACTTCTTTTTTCCTATGTTGCAATAATTACTATTTCATGACATCAAGGAAGTATATCTGGCTCAAGATAATATTGCAGGTCAGTAAAGTATCATTGCAGCAAAACCCACAAATTTCAGGCAACTTACCTAGTAAGAAAATACAATTGAAAGAGTATAGAAGTGGGAGATAGGACCCAGGTTATAGTCCTGACTCCTAGAAGACCTGGGTTCTAACCCAGAATCCTGCAGGTATTTTTCTGCTTTTACCTTAGCCAAGCAAATCATTTCACCTAACTGAACCTTAGTTCTTTCATGATCTGAAACTAATTTTTGCTCTGATTACAAGCTTCATGTGAAGAATAGGAATTTTTTGGAGTAATTTGTTTTCATTTATTCATTCATTTTTCCAATATGTATTGAGTGCCAACACTTATGTGGAGTCTTAGGAAAGCTGAGACTAGAAAAGAAAAGGTACAGTCACTGGTTTCAAAGGACCGCACAACTTGTTAAGTTGTGAAGTGTTCTGAGACAGGGCTAAGCTTGGGGGTGATGGGGGGGCCTGTCTGATATGGCAGAGCTGTGGGTGTAGGTTGTTGTTAGGGAGACTTCCTGAAGACGGCAATGCTGGGAGAAAATCTCGGAGGGCAGGCATCTTTTTATAGATGAATGAACATTCAAGGGAAAAAGTTAGCAGTTCATAAACCATTTGTTTCTACTGTAACTAGATTGGAGTGGTTGATTCCCAGGGAATAGTTATTAATATGTGACTATCATAGGTACATGATAAAAACAAAATGCTATTTCCCAAACCACAGCTCATTGCAAAAGTGGAGTAGTATGGCATGTAAGAAAGAAAAAAAAAATGTAACTTGCCTGAAGATACCTAACTAGAAAGTGGTAGAGCCAAGACTTGAGCCATTTAGGTTAATCGGTATAGGTACAACCTCAATTTAATTTAGTTATTTATGTATTTATTTATTTATAATTCTTTTTATTATCCAGGGATTGCTGAGATTAGGCCAGCAAGGGCCATTTCTCATAGGGTCAGGACCCCACTAGACTTGAATGAGGACAGATTACAGACCCAGAAAGGAAGTCCAACACTCAGCAGGCAATGGACTCATGGGGACAAGGCCAGTTTGTAGGGGGTGAGGGGAGAAAGGTCATGTCAGGAGCCCACTGGATCCCAGACTGAAGCCTGAAGGATAATCGCATACTCTACCTTGAAGTCTCTATGTCTGCTTGGACTGTGGCATCCCTCATCAGGAAGGATGCAGGGAACTTTTAGGACCCTTCTTCAGCACCAAGGACAGTATCTGTCCTATGGAATGTGCTATCCACACTCAAATATATTAAACATCACCCCTAAGAACAATGATATTTCCCATTTTCTTAGTTTGTTCCTGCTGCAGTAACAAAATATCTTAGACTGGGCAATTTATGAATAATGGAAATATATTTCTCACAGTTCTGGGGGCTTGGAAGTCTAAGATCAAGGTGCCAACAGAGGGGAAATGGAAGGGCAAATAGGGACTAGCTAGTTCCCTGGAGCTCTTTTATAAGGACACTAATTGCATTCATGAAGGCTCCTCCCCCATGATTTAATCACTTGGTGAAGTCCCCACCTCTTAATAACATTGCATTGGAAATTAAACTTCAACATAGATTTTGATCATAGCATTCAGGCCCTGCGGGACAGTTTCCCCTGCCCCAGGTTCCACTTGGTGCTCATATATATGTACATTCTCCTCTCATTTCAGATATGACTTATGGGGAACAGCTGGAAAAGACAAGATTCAAGCTCCATGCAGACACAGCCTGTGCCCTTTTTCCCAGCACACACTACTATCTCACTCTCTTACCTGATTAGATCCTCTATATGTAACTCTCTAGCCGAGAGACACATGAGATGTTCAAATCATGTTAGGGTAAAAAGTGTTCAGGTAAACAATTTCTTTTAACCTTACCTATCAGAGGAGCTTGCCATTGGCTATATCATTTCTTCTGATCCTGTCAGATGCCAGAAGTCTAATTTGGGACAGACAGTTAGTGCTCTGGAAGGGATAGTTTCTACAAAGGTAGTACAATCATTTGACTAAACACAAGGGTTTGTCAGAAAGACCCAGGATTGAGTCCCATCTCAGCTTCTTCATAAATTAATGACCTCATGTAAGATAATTTTATCTCTTCAAGACTCAGTTGCTTCAACTTTATAATGTAACATTATAAGCATCTAACACATAAGGTTGCTATGTGGGTTAAATGTGATTGTGCACATTAAATGCTTAGAAATACCTTGGTAAAAATAATTGCTTCATAAATCTGTCATCATTAATTATTGCCTTTGTAGTATATTGTACCCAACTCTCAGAAAACAAGTGTGCTAAGTCCTAGCATGTAACCTTGAAAACCAGAGGCAAAGCTGTGGAATATCATGATTTGTTGGTCCATTTGGCCTGCGGTTACAAAATGCCACAAACTGGGTAGCTTATACACAAAAAATATTACTTCTCACAGTTCTGGAATCTTGGAAAATCCAAGATCAGGGTGCCAGCAGATTTTGTTTCTAGGGAGGGCCGTTTTTCTGGTTGATAGACACTGTCTTCTGTGTGTCCTCACAAGATGGAAGAGACAAGGAAACTCTTTGGAGACTCTTTCATAAAAGCAGCAATCTTATTCATCAAGGCTCTGTTCTCATGACTTAATCATACAAAGGCCCCACCTCTTAATGCCATCATCTTAGGGTTTAGGATTCAAACGTACAATTTTTTGGGGGGGATGGGTATAAACATTCAGATCATTTTCCATGAGAATGTCAGAAATAGTGTGAGGTTGGCATGAGAGAGACTTGGGTTGGAGGTGTATGTTAGGCCATTCTTGCATTGCTATAAAGAAATACCTGGTTGAGGGCAGCAGCTCATGGTTGTAGTCCCAGCACTTTGGGAGGCTGTGGCAGGTGGATCACTTGAGCTCAGGAGTTCAAGACCAGTCTGGGCAACAAAGTGAGACCCTGTCTCTAGAAAAAATACAAAACTTAGCTGGCCATGGTGGTGTGCTCCTGTAGTCCCCAGCTACTCAGGAGTCTGAGGTAGGAGGACGACTTGAGCCTGGGAGGCAGATGTTTCAGTGAGCCAAGACTGTGCCACTATACTCCAGCCTGGGCGACAGAGCCAAACCCTGTCTCAAAAAAAAAAAAAAAAAAAAAAAAAAAAGAAAAGAAAAAAAAACGAAAATACCTGAGACTGGGTAATTTATAAAGAAAATAGGTTTACTCGGCTCACAGTAGAAGGGGAAGCAGAAGCAGGCACATCACTTGGTGAAAGCAGGAACAAGGCAGGGGAGAAGGCGGCGTGTCATACACTTTTAAATAACCAGATCTCGTGAGACCTCACTATCACAAACACAGAAACAAGTTATGAGGGATTCACCCCATGACAAAAACACCTCCCACCATGCTCCACCTCCAGCATTGGGGATTATAATTCAATATGAGATGTGGGCAGGGACAAATATCCAAACTACATCAGCTGCTTACCCCACAGTTAGCCACTTCTGCTTACTGAAGAGTGGCTGTTTCCACAGACACTATAAAAGCATTAGGACCAATGCTAAAACCCGAGTCTCATGAAATCCCTGCAGGAGAGAAGATTTGGAATGTACTTGTAAAGAGGCAAATATATGCTGCAGTTGAAAGTAGCTAAATTTCCAGACCATATCTGGTCTCCTGAGAATTTGGCATGTATTATGATATCTAGAGAAACTATTTTTTGAGTAACCCTCCAATCACCAAAATTTCATTGGACCCTGTGTAAACTTTGGAAGGCCTAGTAGGTCGTATATCCAATTTTTCTGCTCCAGAGAGAGGGTTCTGAAGACGGCTGCCTCTCCTTGGAAGAATGTTTATTTCCCGTCTTATCCTCCAGGTGAAGGCATATGTTTCTGCGATGTGTTGATTGCAGCAAGGTGCAGCTTAGAGGGGAATGTGGATGTACTTGTGTTTGCCAGGAAATTAAATAAGAGCAATGATACATAGCCAATGTGCACCCATAAATTTCAAAAAAAAAAATTCCACTGTGGCACAGGGACAGAAGTAGCTGATATATTGGAAGGGAAAGGCACTGATTCTTGTGCAAAATGAGAGAAATAAAATTTTCCTGCATTATCTTGTCCCTTTCTTAATTGCCTACCAGGATACCTTCATCAACTAGCTTCCCTAGGCCCACACTTTCTACTTGCTTGCATTTGGATACAAAACTGGCTGTGTTTTAAGCATAAAACACAGTGCTTGTGCTATCACACCGGACACAGGAAATGGATAAAAATCTTTACTTGTCAGTTTCTAGATACAATGCACTTCACTTTTCAAAGCTGGAAAATAGGCTACAAACACCAACCAAGGTACAATAAATGTGGGGATCAGCAGCATCCACAGGAGATATATGTGCTGCTTAGCAGCCTCATGCTACTCCCTAGGGGATTTGCGCAGCTTTGGGGTGGGTGATAGGAAGGAAGGTTGGCTGGCCACACAGATACTACCATCTTGGCAGCAGGCTCAGTCCCCAGATGCCAGACTTAGAATCAGTTGCTAAGAGAAGAGCTGACTCCAGCTCCTTTAAACCTTAAAGGTCTGAGAGGAAGGCAGTTTGGGAGAATGTGAAATAATCAGTGAGTGAGACACACTTGATGGAGAAAAGAAGATGAAGGCCACACAAAGAAGGCACACATGAAGACCATAACATCCCCTCCAGACACAAAATATAGAAGTTGATAATGGTCCCAAACCAGTGTGCCAAGAGGAAGAAGAATGATAATTGACTTTAAATCCAATGATTCCCAAAGTGGCAGAAGGAGCACTTCCTTCTGCATGTGCTTTAAAAGGCCCTATTCCTTCTCCTGCCAGCCTGCCTCACCATGAAAATGGTGTGCAGTAAGAGCTTGGCATGTAGGACCAGAAACATATGGACTTGATTCCTAGTTCTGATACGTACTGTGTAATTTTTGGCAAATTATTAAACTTCACTTAGCCTCAGTTTTTTAATCTGTAATTTGGGAATAATAATAACATCAACCTCCCATAGTTATTGCAATGATTGAATTTGATATTGAATGTTAACAACTTAGTATAGTGCCTGCCATATATTAAGCGTCCAATAAGTGTTAAGCACCATTATCAGCTTTTACTGACATTGCACAGAAGCAGTTGTGTATCCATAGCATTGCAGGAGACTTTGTTTAATAGTTTAGCTTTCAAGGTCAAGGAAAAGTCAGTAACTTTACTCAAAACCATATAACTAGTCAAAATTTTTAAAGCTTTTACAAAGAATTTTTTTAAAAGATCATCTTTCATCATTATTTTGTAGTTTTTAGTATATAGATTCTTCACATATTTTGTTAGATTTATACCTACTTTATTTTTTGGTGCAACTATAAGTGGTATTTTTAAATGAATTCCATTTGCTTGTTGCTCATATATAAAAATAAAATGGATTGTTTTATGTTATGATGTAATCTTGCCAGACTCATATATTAGTTCAAGTAGATACTTTTGTGGACTATTTGGATTTTTATCTGAAGACAATTATATTTTCTGTGGATATTTGTATGTCTTTTACTTATTTTTCTTTATTGATTGCACTGGCTAGGTCTTCCAGTAAAATGTTGAATAGGATTAGTGACAGAGAAAATCATTCTGGCATTAGGGGATGAAGCACTAGGGGATGAAGCATTAGGGGATGAAGCACTTATTCTTTCATATTATGCACAATGTTAGCTATGGATTTTGGGTACTTTATCTAAATCAGTTCATAGAATTCCCTTTTTTAAAAATTTCAACTTTTATTTTAGATGCGTTGGGTACATGTGCAGATTTGTTACTTGAAAATATTGCATTACTGGGTGCGTTCTCAAAAGAATTTCCCTTCTGTTTACAGTATTCTTAATTTTTTGTCCTGAATGAATGTTTAACTTTTTAAAATTTTTTGTATCTATTGAGATGATTATATGATTTTTATTTTTGTTAATATAAATTATATTGATGGATTCTCAGAAGATCATTTTTATATAAAAATGATGGAGACATAATTTTGGTGGGATGATTTTCTTTCAAGGATAGACATTCTGATTTAGAGAACTTTAGTAGAGAAATTAGGGAATGGTTGTTTCATCAATGGTGAATTTAATCAATGGACATCTCTTGTAGTTCCATGCCTGTTTCTGAGCTCAGAGAGAACTTTTAGATTTGCTTAGAGTATTCCATGAGAGACTGCCCCCTTCCATTACTTTTTAAAATAAACTTATTTCAATGTAGGTTATTTTTATTTTCTAATTTGGAAATCAAGCATGATGTAATCCCCCTCAAAGGTGTAACAGTGCTCTAATCAGCCATAGGGAGAAGATCCTTACAGAGACCAGCCTGTTCCATCGTAGATGGTGACTGGGTAAGCTGCAGGGATGGAGGGGCCAGCATGATCAAGGCACAGAAATTATCACATAATTTGCTTGAAAGATCCTGAAACAGAGAAAGTGGAGGGGAGAAAAGATGGATAAAATGAGTTCATACCCAGATATTGCTTTCAGAACGTTCCAGCCTTCAGTGAAAATGTAATGTGTAGGAGCTTCCACCTGTGCATTAGTAAAAGACTGATTTGTGTGGTCTTCATTTTTACAAAGGAATGTACTTTTTGTTCCATAAAACAGTAATTGTTCTGCCTAAGTGACTTATACATTTAAGTTATACATTTATTTCATCATTCAAGTTTCACTTATGTTCGGTGTTAATATGTCCTTCTAGTGCTATTAATCTTGGTTCTTTTGCTACTGTTCATTTCATCTCACATTCCTGTAGCCATAGCTTCCCCATGAAATGAGGTTTTTTTAAAAAAAAATAAATAAATTGTTTTAGAAAACAAAAATAAGCTCAAATTCTTTCCCCATTTAATTTTCTCCCCTGCAGTCTGGTGGCAAAAGAAACACTCCCAGCCCGGTCTCTAGCAGACAGCCTGCTTCTCATGTTCCATATGAAGGAAGCCATGTATTAAATTGGGATGAGCCCTTGCATTTCATCACAGAAAGTGAGTGTTGGCTTGAAATGGAGGATCGGCTCATGTGGGTATGAGGTGGTGGTTGGGATCATAAACTGCTGCTCCTGGGCAAAGGACCGAATTATTAAAACTGTTGTTTATGGTCCTTATCATTTACAAACAGGTGAACACAGAAAAAGGACTTTCAATTTCCCTAAATTAATTTTCAGCGGAGGGTTCTCTTGTGTTAAAAAGATAAGAAACTTGTTTGGAATTATAGTACAAGAAGTTTACAGCTGTCTAAAGGACCTGCAAGTCTAAGGTTATCTAGCAAATATGGATAAAATGGCATTTGCCAGAATAACTGTTCCTCTTTATAACACTTTTGAGAAATTGAAATGACTTAGAGGAAAATAATGCCTTAATTCCTGATCCCATCCTGTGAACAATTAACGGGGTAAATTCAGTGAGGGCTGTTCTCAGGTGTTAATTGTTGGGAAAAGAGGTAGTCAGGATATTGATGCACTGGTAAGCCCAAACTGAGTGCCATTATTGTTGCTTAACATTAAGAAGCCCTTCCCCAAAGCCGGTATTACTAAGGGCTTCTGAGCATTTCAATGTGAAGAGGTACCAGCTTGTGCCCTCTGTCCTGACTGATACTACCACCTACTTCACCCCTAAGCCTCTCTATCCATGCATACTCATTTCCATACGACCCCATTTATACACCTCTTCCAACAACCCTTTACATACATTCACCAACATACATGCATACTTACCGCTTGAAAGTATATAATAATAACAATACATATTTACCTCTTGTAAGTATATAATAATAACAATAGTAAATAGCATAATATTAGTAACTTGTATTTATTGGGTGCTTACAATGTCCAAGCAACTTCCCAAGCATTTTATATTACATTAGCCCACTTGTACCTCACAAAAATCTTATTTAATAGGTATAATTACAATAACTCCATCTATTCCACCAGTGAGAAAGTTGAATTTTCCAGGTTGGATAACTCTCAAATTCCCAACAATAGCAGAGCAAGCACTCCAAAGTATAATATCTCTGATCCCAAAGTCCATGCATTTAACCATTCCATATTACCTGATACATCAACTAATTCAACAGCTATTTATTGATTAACAGTGTGCCAAGCACCATGCTATTTGACTTCTCAACTATCTGTACTTATAATCATAAACACATTCCTCAAACCCCTTCAGACACAGCCATGTATATTTGTAAATGGAAATTTAGTTCCACTTGTATACTATCAGTAACATTGGAGCAGGCTCCCTCTGAGAGTTAACTCTTGGTTCTTGTCTTTCAATATTTAAGGTAGTGTGTATTTGTTCATTCTTCCATTTATTCATCAATTGTTCCATGAAAAATTATTCCAAGACAAACTCAAGTCTCACCTCAGCATTGGGCTTCTCCTTAGTATCCAAACCTACAGAAATTTCTCCCACATTTGGCACTTCGCTGTTTCACTTAGCAATCACCAGTTTGAGCCATATGTCTTTTTGCTCACGCTAAGTTGTAACATTTTATAGAATATATTTTAATATCCTGCTTGAGTATAAAACTAGATACTCAGTTTAAGCTTGGCAAATTTTTCTTAAACGATCAGATGATTAAATAAGTAACCTAAAGATTGACTTAAAACCACAATGATGACAACTGCAAATAAAAAACAGCAATAATTTTTTTAAAAATATCTGAAAACTTTTGGACTCATATATCAAAACCAAAAGAATAATTCCAACAAAAGCATAAGAAATCATAAAGGGTTCAGGGGAGAATAAAGTCAATAATTCTACTTTTATATTAGAAAAAAATCTCCTCTAACTGGAGGCTGCAGCTGGGGCTGAGAAGAAAAGCCACTTAGTCCTTGTTACATGAAGTGAAGTGAAACAGCTATGCTTCATATCAGCCACCTTCTCTGGGCTCCTGGAAGGCCAGAATTGGGCCCAGAGATGACAATTAATTCTTTAAAGAGCAGGAGCCCTCACAACACTCTGGGGATAGGTCTGTCTGGACGATATGTCCAGGATCCTTTTGTGCAGGACATAGGATTAACATTCATTAAATAATTTTCGACTATTTTACTCTCATTATGTATAGCAAGGGCTTAGGTTAGCAGGGATTAAAGAAAGAATTATTCTAAAGCAAGAAGCTTCAGCCTCGAAGCATAAAAATAGAGAGAAACTGGTTAAAAAAACAATGTAGGATTAGATTATGAACTTGTTCACTGAACAGTTACATGGCAATTTGCTAAGGTAATTATTACCATTAATTCGAGAGCCAATAATTATCATAGCAGTTCTACCATTTCATCTCTCATTTATTCTGAAATCCTGGAAGTGTGTTTTAGGGTTTGTTTTTTTTTTTTTTTCCAGATACTCGGTTTGCTTGGCTGATCTAAGAGCTTCTGTCCTAATAAGTTTTACAATCTTAGGCATTTTTTTGGTGGGAACTGAATACATCTCAGATAGCCTTCTTACATTAGTGAAACAATGCAATAAGAATCAAGAGGTAATTTATCTTGGTCACCCTTCCTTCTACAGAGCACTCCAGCCTGGAGGTTAATAGAAAAGGAGGCTGTGGCTGCCATCTTGAATCTCATTCTGTTTCAATTTTTCTGGTCACAAACACCATGCTTTTTCTAGCCAAGAGGGGTGAACGGTAGCATATAACTCTCCCCTTGATGCCTTTCCCTGAGGCCCTTCAGTCTTTGGAGTGCAGGACTTAGTGCTAGTTTAATTGAACTGCTGTGCTTGGCTTCTTCTCTGAAAAGAAAAGATATACAGTCCCTCTGGTGACTTGTGGCAACAGATTTCAAACTCAGCTGGATTTAACTCTGTGAATTAAAAATAGCGCTTGAGATTGGGAGCCCAGTGTAAAGAGCAACTTTATTTACTGGCACGTAAGTCAGCACTATCTAAAGTGTGCACAAAAGTTCTGGTTTCTCTTCTGCTTGGCCACCACAAATGTGCATTGCTCAATTATTTCTTTTAGACTACAATAATGGCTGGTTTGGGCACGGATACCACATTGTATCTTGGTGGAGTATCTAACAAATCTATACTCATGACCCTAAGATGCCAGTATCTGTAGTTCAGAGAAGATATTAGTTTCATAGTCTTGAAAAAAATAGTTACCGGCACGAAGACATGTGTCCTAGGATAGGTCAGGATGGGCTGATTTAAATCCAAATAACCTAATTGTATTGATAATGGAAGAAGAGCTAAAATCTAAGGCTTATAAAATGTGGAACTACAGAATACCATAAAAATCATCTAATGCAACTACTTGCATATAAAGATGAAGAAACTCAGACTGAGAGGGTTAAGTGACTCTTCAATTGCTCAGCTAATTGGGGGAAAGATGAAGCCAATATTCAAAAGTTTTCAGATCTTCCATGTTCAAAGTATTTTTCCCTCTGCTACACAACACTGTCTCGAAGCACTTGGTAAGCCCTGAAGCCTATTCCCTATTTATACTGCACAGGAGAAGAATGAGGTACATAGGGCTTCGTAAAGCCCTTTGAAAACAGGATGCTAGACTGGACCAAAAATGACAAATAGCAGACAAACAGCACATGTTTCTTCCTGTATTTAGTCTGGAAATCCAGATTTTCCCGAGCTTATGCTTGGGCTAGGCTAGGGATAGAACCAGCTAGCTATTGATAGGCATCAGGACCCAAAGTTTCTATAGGTCTGAATATGAGGCAGGTAAACAGAGAAAATCTCCCAGTAAACAAAGACAAAAGAAGGCTATCCAGGCCACAGGGAGAACAAATGTCAGAGAATAGACTTATTGATCTGCATAGGGATTTCTGTTAGCTGATCTCTGATAGGAGGTGTTGGGCTTTTAATTCATTATTGCTCTTTTCTGCCCAGGACTGAAAGACCAGCAAGGAGGACACTGCAAGGCAGAGCCTTAACCTGACATATATTATTTTTTTCTCTAGCTAGTTTGTGGCAATGGAATCTAACCACTTATTAAGTCTCCTAATGTCTGCCACACCCTGTGCTTGGTGACAGGTATACAGAAATGAATGGACCACATTCCCTGCCTGTAAAGAAGAGACAGACATGGAAGCAGAAAACTTCAGAGCAATGTAGTACCATGATAGAAGTAGGATTCCATTCTGAAGAATCAGCTCACAGGGACTCAGTATGGGAGACCAGATATCTCATTCCTGACTGCAACTGAAGCTACCAGGTGAGGGAATGGAGTGTTCCCAGAGTTTTAAGTAGGAAGAACCTGTGTTCAGTGATAAGTGAATATAACTGAGGAGATAGGGCTATTGTTACAGAAGGTCAAGTGGTCTTTCCTTCATAGACACAAGCAGTAGAATGAGAGTTCATTGGTCATGGTCATCTCCTACTCTGAGTTTAGTTTATGCTCCAGTAACTAGATCTGGAGCTAGCAGGATTCTGTCACCGAAACAAATCAACAGCTATTGTAAAAGCTAAGGAGACAAGGCATAGAATGCTGAGGTCCTCCTCCTCCTCCACAGGGGAACAAAAATAAGAAAGGGACCCTGGTATGCTGGAAGCAGTATATCTGTCAGTCATAAATGGACATCAAACAGATTTGCTTCATTGTTTGTGTTTTTAGTCTATGTTTAAAAATAGGCTTGGTGCCTGCAAAGGAAGACAGCTCAGTTTTATGGACACTTGCTTCTATTATGAGCTGTTACTCTGCTTTCACCTGGGCCCTCTCTTGGCCAGTTCTTCTCCATGTCTTGCAGGTGGTATCCCCTAGGCTCTGTATAATGAGTTATTATGAGTTATGACCCTTCTTGGGTGGAGCTTTTAAAGATGATCAATAGAACCTAATTCTGCTTTTTGAACCTGGGCAAATGAATTTCGTTGGACCTTAGTTCCTTCCTATGAGATCACCTGAGGACATGGCAGATGGAGATATCCCTTCCAAGGAAGCTGAAAAGAAACACTGATTCAAAGACAGCATCTAATTTTATGATGACAAGGAATCAGCCTAACATCAGTGCAGCATGAGAGCGGGAAGGAAGAGAAAAGAAGTAGCAAACATGCCATGCATCCTGAAGCTTCTCGTATATTCAGGCACAGTCAAGCAGGAAAAATGAAGAAGCTGAATGCCTCCTCACGGGCCTTGGGCACCATAGAGAGCATGAAAGCATCATCATTATCCTGCTCTTCCTTGATAAAGATATGTCTCCAAAACAGAAGGGATAACTGAGCCTGGAAGCACAGCCTCTCCCCTGCTCAGGGAGTTCTATGTCTCAGAATGCACCTTGTTGATAAATGTCTGCTTTCTTGATATTCTGAGCCCACACAATTACTGGCCTGGCATTGCAGGGAGTCTGGCTGCCCGGCTAGACCCAAAATGACTAAGAAACATAGATCATTTAAAGCTGTTTTTCTCGAACAAAACCCCTCTGGTGATATCCACATTCTGGAGTCACAGTGCAGGCTCAAGGATACTGCCTTGTGGCTCTTGTACCTATTTCCTGGTACCTTGCACAGATACAAAAGACCTTTAACCTAATGCAAGCCCAGAGACATGGAATGCACCGATAGGCAAGTGCTGATGGAATAATCTTTGGAAAGCTGAATGCCTTTGCCACTGGTTTACTTAGTGTCCTTCCCAAGAAATGTGACCTGTGTGGCTGCTAGTTTTTATGTGATGATAGCCCTGCATGCCTTAATACAAGAGAAGATCCATATGTCAAACACCAACTCAGCATTTTTCTCCTTGTTGGTGTGCTGCTTCCTTCCATCCTTATTACACTCATTCTCCCAACATATCCTTTTTCAACTGTCCTCCATTATAGCCCTCTGCTCCCTTCTACCCACCTTCTGTTCCCGCCGTTCTCTGATGCACACCACCATCTTCTATCTCCTTTCATATAGAATCTTTACCTAATCTTAGCCTTCCCAGAACTAGTCCTCTTTGACATCTTCATTGCTACTACCAGCTGAATGTGATTTCTTTTACTCTCTATACTGGAATTCTAGTGCTGGAGATTGTACCCTTTCCAGTTCCAGGTTCAGTGAAATCACTCTGGTAGCTTGAGATCAGCCATGGTGGTGAAAGTGTAGTATTTACACCATGGACATTGCAAAGACTACAAATCAGAGCTGCTCCTGACCTCCACCCCCGGCCAGTTTTATGAAGAACAATGTTACAGGAAATTATATACAGGTGGCACTCAATACATTTTTACTGAATGAAACTTCACATGCTGAAGGTATTTCTTTTGTGGTCTCCACTAGACAAGATTTGATTTGTTGTTTGTTTGATTTTGAAGAAGAAAATATTTAGCAATTGTAGGCAAAATAATTTAATAGAATAAAAAGATCAAGAGTGAACCCTAGGGCTAAGAGCTGTGGCTCATGCCTCCAGCACTTTGGGAGGACAAGGCAGAAGGATCTCTTGAGCCCATGAGTTCAAAACAAGCCTGAGCAACATAGTGAGACCCTATCTGCACACACACACACACACACAAAATGCTGAGCATGGTGGCAAGCACCTATGGCCCCAGCCACATGGGAGGCTAAGGTGGGAGGACCACTTGAGCCCAGGAAGTCAAGGCTGCAGTGAGCTGTGATCATGCCACTGCACTCCAGCCTGGATGACACAGTGAGATTTTGTTTCAACAACTACAACAACAAAAGAGTGAGCCTTAATGTAAACTATGGTCCCTGAGTCATAATGATGTGCCAATGCAAGTTCTGCAGTTGTAACAAATGGTGTACACCCTGGTGGAGAATGTCAAAAAACATTTTTTCAGTTATTTCCATTTCAGAATAAAGTAATGATGAAGAGCATATTTTATACGAATGTTGCTTTGTATACAAACAAAACACACAAATTTCAACAGGAACCAAAACACCATTGCCTTCTGCAAAGCCAGCAGGCCTCCTGTTTCCCTCCAGCAGATAGGCTTGCCTCTCTTGCCAAGAACAGATTTCTGAACACAATTGCTAAAGTCACAAAATAACTGGGGCTTTTAATCTTTTCTTTTTTTCCAGAATGAGAATAGCCTTAAAAGAAATTTTTGATCCAAGATAACTATTTTCTTGGACCGTAATCTTATCCCTCATGCCACACGGCTATGAACTTCTTTTTGATGAATAAAAGGCTCCAGAGTCAGGGAAAGGTTTGGAGCAAATCTGGGAGACCGAGAATGTGTGGCTAAAAAATAGTCTTGATTCTTGAGATCCTTAGAGTGTGAAAGGAGTAGTCATGTGATCATTAACTTTTGGTTCTAAATACCCGCCAGCCTCTTATTTATGAACAGAGGCATATTAGAAAGTATTCACGCATGCAAACACACAAACAAAATCTGGCTCATTTAAGTAGCAAAAGGTATGAGACAACACACAAACAAAAGTCTGGAGAACCAGACTCAGAAAACAAGCAAGAATCAAGCAAAACAAGGTGACAGTGGACAGCTTAGGTCATGCCCCTGATAACTCATTTGTTAGAATCTCAACACTCCTACTGTCCTGTGGCTAATTCCTTAACTGCATTTGGATATTTCCATTGCTTCTTCCAGTCCTGGGCAGGAGCATTAACTTACCTGATCCCAGACCAGACCACACATTTTCCTGGGTTGGCTGACTGATGGGCCTTTTTAGCCTTCTTTAATAAGAAAGAGTCACTGCCTCCCACAAGAATTCCACTTTATGGAATGTATTAGTCTGCTCAGGCTATCATAAGAAAATACTATTAACTAGGTACCTTAAAGAACAAAAATTTATTTTCTCACCGTTTTGGAGAGTAAAAGTTCATGATCCAGGTGGTAGCAAATTCAGTTTCTGGTGAAGGTCTCCTCCCAGCTTGTAAATGACAGCTTTCTCCCTGTGTCAGCACAAGACCTTTCCTTGGTGCCTATGTGTGGAGGATATAGAGAATGAACTCTCTGAGGTCTCTTCTTATAATGGCATTAATCTCATGAGATCAGGGTCCTGCCCTTATGGCTTTATTTAACCTTGATTACTTTCTTAGAGGCCCCATCTCCAAATATTAATCACATGGGAGGTTAGGGCTTTAGCATATACATTTAGGGAAATGAAAATATTCAGTCCATAATAGGGAATGACTTCAAATAAGGAGGGTGTTCAAATCCCATGGAGCGAAAACAAAAATGAGAAATACACATGTAAATGCAAAAAGAAAGCAGATAGGGAGAAATAAAACAAGACAACTCTTGCTCTGCCATGCATTTGTCTTTCCAGGTAAAAAGAAACCCCGAAAATCATCCAAAGTTCAAAATTGCCATTGAGGTAGATTTTAAAGATAGCTAAACATCAAAAAACTACTGACTTGACTTTATAATTTTTTTTCCACTCACCCATATCTATTAGGTCAGGTAAAGTGGCCCAAGATCTGTTTTCAAAGTGGAAAAATATCTATATTTGCAACAAAATATTCCTGATTTTATCCTAACAAAACCAAACCAAAACTAAACCAACCCATGATTTGCTTATGCATGAAAACGACGTGGAATTCCACATTGATTTTCCCACTATATCATCAAAAGATGATGACTCTCATTTCAGAGTCGTAAAAAGTCATTTTGATATTCAAAAATCCACTACAGCCATTCTGTTAGTTGCTTGCCCCATATTCTTTCATATCTTTTGTCCTTTGTAACAGAAAACTTTTGCTTCTGATATCTATCTGTGGTTCACATGCCATGTGCCTCAGGTGCACAGGCCTGAGTGGTCTATGTTAATCATGGTCATCTCATTCCCCTCATCAGGGATGTGCTTGGAATGAGCATATGACATGACTCTCGTCAATGAAATTTGAAGTTAAGACTCCAAAGGCCTTCTTGGAAGATATAGAAAGAGTTCCATCCTCCCACTGGATATTATTACAATCAGATGAGACGCTTTTGTACCTACCTATACCCGCAATGTAATTAAAACCAGATATGATACTTGAAATTGCAGCAGTCACAATACTACCCAAATCTGAGGTCAGAACTTGGGAAAATTACCAGGTAACACAGAGATTCAGAGCCAAGTCCATGACCCGCTATGTACAGAGTCTACTACTGCGTCTGGATTTCTTGTTATTTGAGGCCACACTTTTCCCTGTTATGAAAGCCAATTTTCACTGGGATTTTATATTATTTTCTGTGAGTGGCTCCTGATAAAGCCACTTGAGAAAAAGTATATATTGGAGAAACTGAAAGGCCGCTCTATTCACAGCTTACATTACGGGTAAAAGCATGAGAGGAGCAGAGAGACAAGTGAATCACTTTGCTTTTAGGAAGGAGGTAAGAGCCTATCCTTACAAAAAGATCATCATAATTCTTTAGAAGTAGCACAACCCAATGAGCCAGCTGGCATATTCCTCCTTCCTTTTACAAAAAAAAAAAAAATACAAATACAAATAAAATAAAAGTTCACATCAGAGTCTAATTATCACATGCTCTAAAATGTGACATTCAAAGCAAAATGAGGCTTTAGTATTATTGTGAAGCTTACTTCATTTATCATGTGTATTCTAATACAAATATGTATGATCTTGATTTCTTAGCAATGGGAGCTGGGAAAGGTCTTTCCATCAGGGAAGTGTGCTTTAGAGAAAGAATAAATGAAATCAGTTTGTGGGTTTGATAGATAGCAGGTCCATTGAGAAAGGGTTAAGGCAATACAGTTACCATCATTGCCTGAAAACCATCTATCCTGCATGCTTCGTAAGGCACCAGAATCTTATAATCTTTAAATAACCCCACAACTTAGTATTCCTTGAACCCACTTTTCTAGGAAGAAATCTATTTTTCAACAAGATTAAGTACAATTTCCCAAGATCACACAGCTAGTAATGAACAGCATTGGAATATGAATTCAGGATACCTGACTTAAAACACCTATATTTTTATGTGTCTTGTTTCTAGGGCAAATAAGCCCAGTGAAAAGAATATTTAGAAAGACTTCATTTGGCCATCTTTTCTTTCATCTTCTCCTTTTCCTTCTTTTTTCATTTTTCTTCATTCTTTTTAACATATTTTGAGCAACTATGAAGGACATAAAGCTGACTCAGAACATATCCTGTTATTGCTGTCTACAAAAAGAAGCTAAGCCGTGAACACAAATAACTATAACTGAAAGTAGAAAGTGATAAACATTTTAGGAAAGACAAATGAAGGATGATGGAAGTTTAGAAATGACTAACTTCATAACAAAAAGTTTGCAGGTCAGGAATGCAGTAGAGTGGTTCTCTCTGAAGACAAGTGATCAAAAACGAATATTGCAATTAGCTGGGCATAGGTAAGATTTTAAATTTTGGAGATGACAAAATCTTTGGACAATAACCCAAGGAGCTGGACATATCTCAGGTTCTGGAAATAGTCTATTGTCTTGGTGTTCATGAGAGGGTCCTAAATATAACTTCAATTGCCCCAGGATATATAAGGCTGAATTTATATGAGCTGACTGACTAGAGGAGTCACCACTTTCTTCATTACACTGGGTGTAACTTCAATAACTGAGACACATATTCCTCAATTAAACTTCCACACATGCTCCCTAGGCCAAAGGTAGACAATGGCCTGCCATGGAGAATAAATATGGTTTTCCAAGACTCCTTCCATCTTCTATAGGAGGACATACTTCATGTGAACATTTTCCCCCATGGTAATATAGTGTGTGAGAGAGTGAAACACCTGTTTAGCTTTTTTGTGTATTAAGAAGCTACAGGGGGTAATAGTATGTCTATGTTAATAATTCTCGTGGGGACAGAAAGGTAATTTATTATGCTCCATAACTGAGATTGGAAGAGGACAAAGAAGACTTAAACACTTCAATCAAGATGACCTTCTCTTACCCCTGAAAAGTAAGTCTTCTTTTGTCTTCTTTCTACTCAGATAACTGTGACTAAATACTATTATATGAATAAAAGTATGGAATTTAAATAGGAGGGGATATTATAGTTAATATAGCTATATATCATCTGTGCTTTCTTGAAGCTCTTGCAACAACTATTTGTTCATTCAAAACAGTGTTTAAAAAACACCCTCAGGCTGCTTGTCCTATCTCATGTCATATGGCACCAACAGACACAGGTGATTCACTAGCTTTATAAATATAAGGGTCTCTCTAAAGTGATAGTTTCCATGTTTTCTCAAGACTGTCATAAATTTATGGACATAGACCAATTGAGATAATTTTACAGTCTGTACTTTAAGCAGAAAAATGAGTTATAAATATTCAAATCCAGATATCTAATAAGCAAATAATGTAAGCAATAAGGAAATTGCCAAAGATTCTCTATGTTGATTCCACTAAAAAAAAATCTAATTGATCCAACTTAGTCATAGACATTCTAGGGAAATAGAGGTAAAGATGAATAGAACATCGTTTCTCAGGGAAGTTACAGTTTACTGTAGAATATAAGACCATAGCTGAATTGGTGATGCAAGGCAAAATACAGTTAGTGCCATATGAGGGGCTTAGGTCACCTGTGCCTATGTGACAGAAATACATCACAAGTGCTATGTGTTTAGAAAAGAGAGAGTTCATGTTGATTTGGAGAATCAGGGAAGGCTTCATAAAGAGTTGATATTTTAGCTGCACCTGACGAAATGGACAGAAAGAACTTCAACACATGAAGATGGGGAGAAAGAATTTAGAATGTGTAAAACGAAGGCTGTGAATGAGCTCAGTCAGTCTTCAGTGAGACAGCAGAACAGTGAACAGAGCAAGAGCTGGTGTCAGACATAAATGCATTAATATCTTGGCTCTGTTGCTGTCTAACAATGGAATGGAACAAAGTTTACTTAATTTTTTTAAGCCTTAATTTTCCCATGTAAAAGGAGAATAATAAAACTAACCTTAATTGGTATATTTTGAAGATTAAATGAAATGATGTATGCAAGTATTTAGCACAGAATCTGGCCAATGAAGTGGCTTTTCTTATTTCTTCTCCTGTAGTCCCCTTCACTTTTCTCTGCTTAGCAAATACCATTCTCCCACCTCTAATAAGACCTTCAGCTCATATCTATTCATTCTTTTGTTCTACAAATATTTATTGAGCAATTTTTATATTATTTGCTTTCTTCTCCCTAACCTCTACTGCACTTATTTTCAACATAATCATTACCTAAAGAACAGAAAAGTGTTGTGTGGTCTGCCTTTCCTAGTTCTGAGAGTCACTGCAATCATGGGTTAGTGCTTACTAGTGACCTACCAAAGAGGCAGATGATAGTGATGGTCATGCATAAGCAAAAGAACTAGGGAAGGAAGCACACCCTGAAATGAGTGGCCACCCTCTATCCATTTTAGTGCTACCAGGCTAGAAGATTCCTGACTTAACCAGCTCTGAGCTAATGTAGACAAGAGATCCTGGCTGTGGGATTTACTTTCTCATTTTTATTTGAGACTTGAAAATACTGGCATAATCCAGCTTTGATTCCAGGAAAATCACACCGTGGCACAGTGTAAGGGTGTCATCAGGTGCTCACAGCCCAGTAACACTATTTGGAACAGAAGAAGGAATATAAATAAAAGAAACCAAGTGCATTAGCAACTCACTTTCCTCCATATGTTATCATAATCGCAGCTTTCCTTCTTTTCCACATGGCCTCAGACTCTCTAAAATGCAACATCTCATCATTTGTTTTTGTTTTTGTTTGTTTTCTAGTATATGTTACAGAGAAAGAAGAAAATGGGGTTCTTTTTACTACACAGAAGAAAGACACACGGTTGAAGGAGCAGGGAGTCAGTGAAAGTGTCTGATAAATAAAGCCACTGTCGAGCGGTCTCTGGGAGAACGCGTTATGCTGTGTGCAAAGTGAGCAGTGCCTGAGCCTATTTCACTGGGTCAATTTCCTTGGAACCAAGCCTTGAAAGCCATACACTGCAGATTATCATAAATACAGTTTTACTTCTGCTGTTTGTTTTGCTTCTTTTTTTAATCCCCTTTTTTCCCTACCAAAAACAGAAAAACAAAATCATACTTATATCTCATAGTTTCTCTGAGGCAAGGAGGAAGACAGTCATGTATTCCCACTTTTACAGGATCAAAGATGAGAAGACAGTCATTATTTGCCATTGGGCTGGAAACTACTTACTGGGAAGACCAATGACACCTTTACTACCTAGTCATTGTGTTTTCCTAACAGCCTTTAGAGAGGACCCCCCAAAAGCTAACAAATGTCCACATCCTTGTACAAATAAACAATTGATACATATAAAATGGAGATCGATGTATCAAGCAGAGCTATCTTCTCCTCTCCCTGTTGATTCTCCTTCCCTACGTTATCTGATTAAATCACTTGGATGACGTATTTAAGAAAAGAATCATTCCAAATAGTTTTCTTTGTCTTGCCTTTTATGTCTCCTAAATTCAGCCGTTACAGATTCATAGGTATTATAAAATATTTTCTTTAAAAGTCTAGATATTGTTGAAGAAGAAAGAAAAGCAAGAGTGTGAATTTAAATCATCAGCTTGCTTTCCTCCTAACTCTTTCAAAAGCACCATGTAGACAGAGTTTTGAATGGCTGGAGGAAAGAATATTACGGTTTGTGGGTTATTTTAGAGATTTTGGACTTGGATATGCCACTGGAGTCTAGGACTTCAGCCAAGAAAAAGAAGTGAGAGCATGCTTTCCCCTTGATAAACAAGGGTCAGACAGTAGAGAGAGAGAGAACATAAAGGAATACAGGGGGTGCCAAAATTCAACTTCTGCCTATCCAATGCAAGATATCCAACAGAATAGAACACTTTCAGAGAGTGGCAGCATTCTAATTATCATGTTTCTTTAGGATAATACTGTTTATTATTAACAAAGAAAGTATCTAGAAACACTTCTTAGCTAAGTTGATTCTTGACTAGAGCAGCCTCTTCCAGATTTCTAGTGCATTTTTTTTGGTTGTTGTTGCATTTTGCTTTATTATTATTACAATGTGCTTGGTTTGAAAGCATTTTTGTTTTCACATAGTTGATATTTTCAAATATCTCTCTGTGGAACTCCTCCCTCGAAATTTTACTCACCAGCATTGTATGATATAAGAAATGCTATCATCCTCCCAAAGCAGACACAGCTCTGAGCTAAAATGTGTTTTTCTCAGCCTTAGGTCATCGGGCTCAGTTGCATATTTTGTGTTCTCTGTCTTGTTCTTTTCTTTGCCCCCACTGACCTGAAGTTCATGTCTCCTTTTGTTTCTGGCATGTTGCTACTTAGCATGTCTTCAGTAAATAAAGATTTGGAGTATTACAGTTTTTTTTCTTTTCATACTGCTGCACTCAATGAGAACTTTCTGTTGCTTCTTTCTCCAATCAGAATGTCTTAAAGGCTACAGGTTAATCCTTCCTTCTTGTTAGATGCTTTTATTCAAGAGCATCCTGATTCTGGAAGATTCAGTTTTCAGTGGTTATTTTTAGTACTCAATTGATTCAAGCATCTTCCAAATTCTGAGAAAAAAAAAATCACTTCAACCAAGAGATCCTATCAATCACAGCATGGTTTGCATGCTTATTTAGCTGGTTAGTAATTAAAGGCAGCTAAAAATACCAGACATGCATGAATGGTGTGATTTTTATATCTTAGCTTCTTCCCAGAGAAGATGCAAGACCCATCAATCAAACAGTTGGTAGCTGAAGTCATTATCACTGAAATTAAGGCAATTATACACAAATGAATATTAATGAAGTATCTAGTCAAAATTAGGGTCAGTTTTTAACAGTTAGAAATTGTAGAGAATCTAGGTTCAGTGTTAGTCCATTATAAAATAACTTAAGAACACATTTTTCATATTAAACTGCCACTATAATTATGGGGACTCCATCACATCTACGTTGTTTCTTATTTTAAAGAGAAATAGTTTTATTCATGCCTTATAGGTTTTATTTTAATATTTCAAAATGGTCTAGAAATCTACATTTCATGTAGTGACATAACACCCCACTGAAAAATAAGTACTTTGGTCTTAGGCATTGTGATTTTATAACTTAAAAAATAATATTCACTGCAATTTACAGCAATGCCTTTATTTATAAAGTAAGGAGCATATACCAGAGGATCTCCATTACTTTTTCAGTCCTTACATTCTATTGTTAAGGATTTAAATGTGGAATAAGGATATGCCACCTTGGAAAGGCAAATACTAGTAAGGTAGTTTATCATTGGATCCTTTGCACGTTATGAAAATGTGAGAATGTAAAAGGTCTGAATTTTCTAGACATGCTTTCACATAATTAAAAGGTAGTAGAAGCTCCTCCAACAGCCTCCAAACATAAATATCATAGTCCACAACTCTAGGGACACTTCACATCAGGATCTATGTGAATTGCTCTTCTGGTGCTGTGCAGTGCACAGCTGTGCAGACATAGATGCTGGACCTCCATAGGGAAGAGGCATTTTATTAACTGTTCCACTTCATGCCACCCATTTAGTAAGCACATAGGGAAAAAAAGAGAGAAAGATGAAGAAAGAAAAAGAAAGCAAGGAAGCAAAAACGAAAACGAGAGAGGGGAGGAGGGAGAGAGGAAAGGAGGGACGGAGGGAATAAGAAAGGAAGGAGGAAGGAAGGAAGGAAGCAAGCAAGCAAGCACTGTTTTGTGACTAAGCGTTGGAAGTAGAAAAGATTTGAACCCAGTTAATCTTTGGGACAGCCATGCCTCCAGCAGCAAATCAACAAACGAGGCCATTAGATAGTCTCTGCAAGGAGCCAAACTCCAGGATCCACCTGTTACAAACACACAGGCCTTTGATGGCTGGCAAACAGGAATGAGACTAAGAGAAGGCAGACTGACCACACAAGGATTCCAAAAGCATAGGTCTGAAGGACAACAGGGCAAAGTGAAAATGATGAGGTGGGGTGGAGAAAAGACAGGAACAACAGGGAAGGCATCATAGTTATCCACAGTTGTATGGGAAGATGCAGTCATTCTGGCTTAATCCCACCGGCTCATTTCTTCAAATCATTGCTATTCTCCCAGAAATCCCAGCTGCGTGAGAAAGACAAGATCATCATAGAACCGTAAGCACTGAAATAAAAGAAAAGTGGCTGGCCTAGGGAATTTGAAAAATTGTCAAACATGGAAGAGAGAATATGGAGTAGATGCTCTCATGTTCCTCAGAGCCCTGTGCAATATTACAGAATGATTCACTGTCTTTGTGACAGTGTCACAGAGACATACTTCACCAAATAGGGTAAAGTATTTTATATCAGCTTGATAAAATCACAAATATGGGTATATTTAGGGGACATATGGGTATAATATGGGGATAACTGAAATTATCCTTTAATGGACACTATTCACTTCAATGCAGATTAACAACCCCTGCCAATTCTTACATATTTCCTCTTGCAGACTGCCATGGTTACCACTTGAGACCGTCACTACGACAGTTACTACTGTTACTACTTGAGACCCCCATTAGACTGAACGAAGGAGGACAAATGCAGAAATGAAAACTTAAGACAAAAGAAACTGTTTTAAAGGAAGGGTCCAGGGGAAGAAGTAGACAGCTCCCTGCTACCAGTGAGCAAAGGCAGTCCTGAGCTTCTATAGCCCTTCTTATTTATTGGGTAGAAAGAGCAGGGAGGAGGTGGTAAAGATTGGGCAGCTGCTTAATTGATCACAGGTTCATGTTATTGCTAACAGGCTTCAGATGTGCCTAATTACAAGAAACACTTGTGCCTGGGTCGTGACTGCCCTCAGCATTCCTTCTGGGTGGCAGACGCAGTTTGTCAGTTTGCCAACATCCTGCTTTCATGAGAACAGTTTGCGGTTTACTCATGTAGCCTCCAGTGGTATACTGAGTTGATCGTTACCCTCACTCTTTCGGCCTGCAAAAATTTCCCATTTTAATTCATTCATTTTCTCAATCTTGGGTGCTGTTTAGAATACTCCAAGGAGGTGAAACATTTGTGTAAGGCGTATATATACATATGTGTGTGTGTATATATATAGTAATATATAGTGTGTGTATGACTAAACATATATATACACACACACCTTAGTATATTACACCTCACTAGATTACACTTTGTAAATATTTCATTTTTTATAAATTTTTACAAATGGAAGATTTGTGGCAACACTGCATAGAGCAAATCTATTGGTGTCATTTTTCCAAGTGCATATCTGTGTCACATTTTGGTAAGTCTAGCAATATTTCAAATTTTCATTAGTATTATATCAGTTATGGTGATTTGTGATCAGTGATCTTTGATGTTACTAATCATTTTGGGGTGCCACAAACTGCTCCCATATGAGACAGGGAACTTAATAAATGTTAAGTGTGTTCTGACTAATCTGCCCAGCAGTTGTCGTCTTGTCTCTCTCCCTCTCTTCAGGTCTTCCTATTCCTTAAGACACAAAAATATTGAAATTAGGCCATTAATAACCTTGCAATGACCTCTAAGTGTTCAAGTGAAAGACAGAGTCACCCCTCTCTCACTTTAAATTGAAAGCAAGAAATGATTACGCTTAGTGAGAAAGGATATTGAAAATCCAGATAGGACAAAAGCAAGGTCTCTTGCACCAAACAGCCAAATTATGAATGCAATGGAAAAGTTCTTAAAGGAAATTAAAAGTGCCACTCCAGTGAACACAAAAATGATCAGAAAGCAAAATAGTCTTAGTGCTGATATGGAGAAAGTTTGAATGGTCTGGATAGATAAAACCAGCCACAACATTCCCTTAAGCCCAAGCCAAATTCAACAAAAAGCCCTAACTCTCTTTAATTCTATAAAAGCCGAGAGGTAGGAAGCTATAGAAGAAAAGTTCGAAGCCAGCAGAGGTTGGTTTATGAGGTTTAAGGAAAGAAGCCATCTCCATAACATAAAAGTGCAAGGTGAAGCAGCAAGTACTGATGTAGAAGCTACAACAAGTTATCCAGAGGATCTAGCTAAGATCATTTATAAAAGTAGCTGCATTAAACCACCAATTTTCAATATATGAAACAACCTTCTATCAGAATAAGATGTCCTTTAGGTCTTTCATAGCTAGAGAAGAGAAGTCAAAGCCTGGCTTCAACCCTGCAAAGGTCAGGCTGATTCTCTTGTTAGGGGCTAATGTACTTGGTGACTTTAAGTTGAAGCCAATGCTCATTTACCATTTTGAAAATTTTAGGGCCCTCAAAAATTATGGTAAATTTACTCTGCCTATGCTCTACGTATGGGGCAAAAAAGGCATAGGTGACGGCACATCTGTATACAGCATGGTGTACTGACGACTATTTAAAGCACTATATGGAGATATACTGTTCAGAAAAAAAAATCCATTCAATATATTACTTCTCATTGACAGTGGACCTAGTAAACCAAAAGCTCTGATGGAGATTAACAAAGAGATTAATGATATGTTCATGCCTGCTAACACAACATTCATTCTGCAGCTATGGATCAAGAAGTAATTTTGAATTTGAAGTCTTATTATTTAAAAAACACATTTTATGAGGCTTAACTGCCATAGATAGAGATTTCTCTGATGGATCTGGGCAAAGCAAACTGAAAACCTTCTGGGAAGGATTTCAGATGCCATTAAGAACATTCATAATTCATGGGAGGAGGTCAAAAGATCAAAATTAACAGGAGGTGAGACGTTGATTCCAACTCTCATGGATGAATTTGAGGGTTCATGACTCCAGTGGAGGAAGCAACTGCAGATATGGGGGAAATAATAAGAGAACTAGAATTAGATCTTGAAGATGTGACTAAATTGCTGCAACTTCATGATAAAACTTTAAGGCATGATGATTTGCTTCTTATGGATGAGGAAAAGAAGTGGTGTCTTCAGAGTATCCATGCTGGTGAAGATGCTGTGAACATTGTTGAAATGGCATCTAGGTACTTAGGATATTATGTGAACTAGTTAAGAAAGCAGCAGAATTTGAGAAGATTGACCCCTATTAAGTTCTACTGTGTGTAAAATGCTATCAAACATCATTCCATGCTACACAGAGAAATATTAAAGAGTCAACTGATGTGGCAAGCTTCATTGTTGTCTTATTTTAAGGAATTGCCACAACTACCCCAACCCTTCAGCAACCACCACCCTGATCAGTCAGCATCCATCAACATTGAGGCAAGATCCTCCACCAGCAAAGAGATCATGACTCAGTGAAGGCTTAGATGATCATCACCACATTTTTTTTAGCAAGAATGTATTCTTTAAGACATGTACATTTTTTAGACATGATGCTATTGCAAACTTAATAAACTGCCGTATAGTTTAAACTAACTTTAATATGCACTGGGAAAGCAAAAATTCATGTAACTCACTTTATTGGGAAACTCACTTTATTGGGACACTCACTTTATTACAGTAATCTGGAACTGAATCTGCAATAGTTCTGAGGTATGTAAGTGCATATATATATATGCATACCTGTCCTCCACAATTTTCAGTTTGCAGGTAGTATTCAGAATGATTGTTCTGAACAGTAGATTGTCAGTGGGTAAATATTGTATCTTATTTATCCACAGCCCACACACTGTGGATTCTAGGTAAATGTTTGTTTTAAATTAAAAAGTTTACTTTTAAAAAAATGAATTATACAATCAATGGAATATTTAGATAAATGAAGCACATTTACAGTATTTGTGGTCAGTGCTATAATAGACCTTCTTTCAGGGGGCTGTGAACCTCAGACAAAGGACACCACTGCCTCACTAGGCATTATAGTTGTCCTAATATGGAGCCCAGGCACATTTCCTACTTCTACATTAAGAACCTATTCAGGACAGGGAGATGCCAGGATAATTAACAAATATAAGAGTTGTGGCGATGGGGCTTGCTCTCTTCCAAAAAGTCACATTGGGAAGAATTTGGCTGATTCAACAGTGCACTCTCATTCAAAATATTTTAAAATATACTATTTGGGAACTAAGTCACTGATAAACGCATAAATGATATTAACAGAGATTCACCTTCAAGTGTCTCTTAATATAACACTTAAGAAAGAATCCCAGATCACATTCAGAAAATCCTGTGGGTCTCCAAATTCTAAATTCCAGGAATAATTTGCTGTTTTCCTGATAGCATCTACCCTAAGTTATTTTCATAGAGATAGTCCTTCTGATATACAGCAACATGGCAAAGGAAGAATCATTAGACAGTTTTAATTTTAATTACATTACTGTGAAATCATGTAATAAATAGGCTTAATATAAAATTTACATGATTTGAATGATGCCAGTTCCACCCATATGCCTACCTTTTCATGCACTTATGTATTTTTAAACATTTTAAATAATGACTTATTTCAAAGACACAGAAAATCACAGGAAATTATATCATAGCTATATGTACATTCAATACCAAAATGAAAAAGATATATATATTTTGTCAAATGGCTTCAGCTCTTCTTTTTGGTTTAAAAGAAAGATAATTTTACAGATTTAGCAAAATACCTGCCTCTGGATCTCTTCCCTTCCTCTCTCCCTAGAGATAACTAGTCTTCTATGGGTCAGATAGGTATTATTCATTGTTTTATACTCTTACTATAGTTTATGTATAAATATTAGACATACAACATATAATACATTATAATATAATGTGTTTATGAACGTATACTTTGCATTCCAGACTCTAAAACACTATCAAAGTTTGCACTATAACCAAATTCCAAATTATGTTTCTGTTGGTTCATAAAGTTGTAGGTCATGCATTTTAATGGCAATAGAGTACTCCAAGGCATGAACTAATTAGTTTATTAATTTATTTTACTGTGTACCAGTGAGACGGATTTTATTTTTTTACTCTTACCAAGATTTTTTCAGCAATCATGTGGCAGCATATATTTTGTGCATGTTTGAGAATTGAAGAACACACTTTTGATTTAGTTGGGATTGCTGAGGTATCTGGTATGTACATTTTTATCTTTACTAGATACTACCAAATTACTCTCCAAAATGATTGTAATTGTGTCAATTTATTCTCTCGGCATAAAGTTTCCAATTTCCACATAATTTTTCTAAGATTTATTTTTATCATATTGTAATTTCAGTAAATTTAATGGATGAAACATTATCTTACATTGGTTTTGACACTTTTTGCTCTTGTTCAAAATTCTAGTTTGTCTTTTCTTTGTTATAGTTGATTTAACATAAAAAATGTATGAATATCCATAATATTATGAATAAATTAATTTACATGCACACCCACATGTGTATGTTTGGAATCTATTCCCTTCTATTTTATGCTCCTCATTTACCATGATTTCTCTTTGCTTCAGTGTTACCTTAATTTCCTCTTTCCATTGTATCACCTATATACATATATACATGTGTGTGTGTATATATACACACACACACACATACATATATATATATATATTTGCTCTTCCTGTTCTGTAGTGTGCATGCTTACCAAAATCTAAAGTTGATCACATCATTACCCACCTCCTGAATGAAGCACATACCCCTGGGTGCTTTAACTCTGATCAGCCTCCTTCCAGCTTTCTTGTGATGATTTCTAGTGATATAATTTCACTTTATTTTTATAAGATAATTTTACCCTTCTTTATAAAACTTTATGTATATATATTAGCCGTTTGCTTACAAATTTACTTGCTCATCATGTTTTTGCATTCTACTTCATCCGTTGATTTTTTTCAAAGTTATTCTTTGTGAAGTGCATCCATTTAGTAATTCATTCCATAAGAGTCTGTGAATGGTAAAGTCTCTCCAACTTTATTTTTCTGAAAATATATCTTATTTTCTTTCACTCTATTTGAATCCTATGTTGCTTTTTGTTGCAATTTATTCCCATTTCAAGGCTGCAATATCCTCTTTGATCTCTTTCAGGGCATTCATAATGGTTTCATTTTCTTTTGTTCCCCCCCGTTCTATATAGTCCCTGTTTCCTCCAAGTTACCTGATTCTTTTTACTTTGGTACCTTTGTTTCTGGTTGGAGGATCTTCTCAACGTCTGGTAAATCTTCATTGTCTTCTCACAATTAAGAGTAAAAGGGTGGAGAACTGTAAAGCTGATGAGAAGCACTGATGGGCAAGGACATGGTGTTGGCTCCACCATCACACAGGATGATCTGGGAATCAGCCCTGTCATCACCGCACACTCTCTTCCGGCCTTCCCTCTTGGGCTAGCTAGGTGGTATAGGAGAAAGCCTCCCAATCTTCTGCCTGGGTGAGGACACGGCCTCCAAGTTTCCAGAAGCCAGACTGGGAGAGGTGGGTCAGGGGACTTAGATGGAGCATTCTTTATGTACATTTTCCTGTTCATCCCATGATTGTGCCTGGATCCCCCCATTTCAGGGACCATTCCTTTCACCATCTCTAGAGAATAAACTTCCAGACTTCTTCTGGGATGAGGATGGCTTAGTGGCCTAAAGTCATGGAGTAAAAGAAAGCATCTACATTCTCAAGCAGATTTTACCAAATCTTAATTTCTTTAAGAATTCATCTATATATTTAAAATGTTTAACAGCATTTTTGTTAAATAGCATCTGACTTTGTAAATGGTTGTTTTAGGTGAATTTCACAGTGAACTGGTTATATGAATGCTAACTCTGGGCCACGGGCTCCTCCTCACACTATTCCCATTTATTAGGCATTACTGTCCACATTTCCCAGATGAGAAAACTGAGACACAGAGGAGACAAATTACTCTCTGAATAAGATTTAACTAACAGAGCTCAACAGAGCTGGGATTTAAAACCAATGTTTGCCCATCTCCAAAGCCCATTTACAGTTGCCAATCACCCATGAACATCAATAAGATCTACAGAAAGGGCCAGCTCCCTAAAGGGTTGCAAAGCTATGTGACACATATGCACTTGTGGGTGCCTGCTTATGTGTAGATGCATATGTGTGGGTGGAAAGTGTTTAAGACATGGTATTATTATGATACTTGGTTCAAACAGTGCCACTTTTCACTGATTTCTTTTCTTCCTCCCTGCTCATTCAACGGTGTCTAATAAACACCTTATTTCCCTTCTCACTGACTTTCTATTTATTCAGTATTTTCTGCCCAAGATACCTATTGTGTTCAGGTGATCAATGTCACAGCATGCAACTGCTTTGTAACACTAGGGACTCCGAACAATAATTTTACTTTGAAGCAAAAAAGTAGTGGGGATGAGAAGGGTGGGAAAGCTATGCAGAGACATCACAGAAAATGAATGTGTGTGAATCTATAAGTTTCCAAGTGAAGCCACAATATGTGTAATGTTGCACTTTTGTTGAATCGATGGCCATTCATGAAGTGCATCTGTAAGTCTTTCAAAGATAGAAGCATCATCGTAAATATGCTCTTATTTCATGTGCCTATCATAATAGGTACAGAGTAGTCAGCCAATACATGTTACCCTTTGATTCATGCTAATATTGTTTATTTTTTAACACTTCCAAGTGAGTGGTGTGTTCTTAGGAAAGTACTTTGTTTTATTCATCAGCTATAACAAATCATGAATTTTTACTTCTCAGAGATATCCTTGTTCCCTTTCCTCCTGCTATGGAATAATCAAGGTCAGGTCTTGAGCTCAGGATCTGCATTTTATACCCATTCTACATTTATCAATGTGCTAGCTCAGTGAGTTGCACACAGTAGGCCCACAGCATGTACATCATTAACAACAAAGATTTTTATCTCTTTGGAAAAATATAATTTACATTTAGTTACAGCTTTCTGGCTGTAAATTGCTGGCCTAGCCGATGGGGCAGAAGACAGAGTACACAGCCAGTCCTAGAGAAATCTGTATTATATGGCCCCCTCCCCAGGCTCAGGAAAAGGAAAGTGAAGAATGCCTGTACTAGTGATCTTCATTGGACTAGTTATTTGTCATATCTCCACTAAATTTCACATTTTTCTAGAAGTTAGCCATGGTAATTCTAACTAAAGCAGAATCCACTTTTTTCTCCTTGCCACCTTATTCTCGCTACACCTACTTAGATTGCATTAGAATATTTAATTATTTTTAGTTGATTTATAACTGTCTTTTCTTCTAGACCATAAGCATCATAAGGTTAAGCAACAAGTCTTTTTCATATATCCCCAAATAATTAGAGATTCAATGTTTATTTAATGAATGCACAATTCAGTGAAGTCCTTCTTTCTCCTTCCTCGTTTAACCCAGAATTGTTAACTCTTATTCAAAGTATAGAACAACCACTCGACCTGCCACAACTTAATTTCCATGCTTAGCACAAGCTTCCCAGGCAACACACCCAGGGAATTGTGTTTCAGAGAGTTGCGGGGGCTCTCTGCAGTCGAAATGCTCTTTCCACATGAAATCCCCCGTGCTCTCTCTACAGCACAGTAGCAGTTGAGAAGCAAGTCACTTGTGCAAAGTCTGAAAGACTATTGATAAAAGAAAAAGGATGACATTTGCTTCTGGCAGTTTTACTCAAAGGTATGTGCCTGAAAGTCACAGAAAGATATCACGAGCCATAGGAAATATGAGCAATCTCTGAGGAGGATGTAGGAGAAAGATATTCACAGGGTAGGAGCATTATTTCTCATTCTTGGCAAGAGAAAGCAACACAAAGACTGGAAGAAGAGTGAATGGGACTTGGCAGGTGAGACCAGGAGACAGACTGCAGCAAACTGACGCTCACCTCTCATGGGCTGTGACCTTGAGCCTTACAGGAGCCTCTGTGTGAGTTACAGTCCAGTGGTAAATGGAGCTAAGGCCCACACCTCATTGCAAACACTTGCAGTGATGGTTTAGAAAGGGAGTTAAACAGAATGTGGATGGATAAATCTGATCAGGCAGATGTCTAGTTTGACAAGAGATAGAGAAAAATAGATACATACAAAGGTTCTATGAAAGATATTGGTTGGTGGAAACGAAGAAAATTGCCCTAAATTTTGTTATATCTCAGCTGAGATTTCACGGAAAAATTCACCAGAGAAATTAGCTGAGTCCCAATCAGTGTTCTAATGCAGCCATTTATAGTGCTTCATGCTGCTTCATTGCCCAGGTAATTACTTTTTATCAACCTAAAATTCTCCAGTACTTTCAGCTGGAAAGCTAGTCTTTATTTCCCCACGTTGGAAGTCAGTAGCAAAATGTTATTGACCCGGTTCTCTTGTCATCTTCCACTTGAGTGCAGGTGTGTGTGTAAGAGAGTCCTGTACATTATTTACAGTTGCTTTCATGGATGCTTTTAAAATGATACTCTAATTCCTCTTCCACATGACAGCCTTTCAAGTTTTTCAAGAAAGCTTTATTTCAGCTTCTGAATCTGTCTCCAAGAGAAGTCATATCCTCCATCCCAGTCTTTTCCATGTTCTTCACTTGGCATGAGTCTACACACTTTACCACTTTCAGCACTCAATCTCCCAGAAGGTATAAACACTTTTTAAATTAGAGACACCCAGAATTGAACACAAAATCTTGGCAATGAAAAATGCAGTGGGCCATGAGCTTCCCTTGATCCTGATCCCTCACTTCTACCATTATACCCAAAGATTCCTTTACCTTTTTAGCAACCATATCATACCGCTAAACCTGCTATAATAATGACCTACCTAGTGCTTACTACATGCCAGGCACTGCTCTAAGTACTTTACGTGTCTTAACTCATTTAATTAGTCTTATGGATAGATAGAAAGGAGGATGTATTATTATATTAATAAAAGGGAGAGTGAATGAGTGAAGATTGTGTCCTAAGAATAACTTCATTTATCACATTCATTTATTCATTCAATAAACATTGAAAGTAAAGTTTTAAAAATAATTTCATATGGTCAAGTTATCAGTCAGGGTTCAATGAGAGAATCAGAACTTCTTGGAGTAATACAGATTAAAGGGTTGATTACAGGGAGCTGACTATAAGATTGCAATCTGGTTAACCAGTCTATGTATGACTTTTGCTTTTGTACATGGTGCTGAGGCCTGAAGTCCACAAGGCAGGGATTCAGGATGGAAAGATGGATTTGAAACTCTGTAGAGAAAGAACAAATGGGAATCATAGAATATTCCAGAACTCATGATGGTAAACAGGCACCTTTATTAATTTCTTACTGCTTCCAAGCCTTCAACTTGGATAATGCGTCACCATACAGAAGAAGCTGGTGCCCTTCCTCATGGAGCTAAACATGTACCTAACACAGCAGTTGGAGATGCTCATGAAAGAGATCCAGTGGTTGCCAGAGGAGGAGCTGCAGGCCTGGTTACTGCCCAGGCCAATATGGTGAGCTAGCAGACCTGTGTCCACCTGTGTTAACTTCAACAGCACCTGAGCCTACACCCACCTTCTGATTATAAAAATGGCCTGCAGAAGTTTCTTTGGCAGCTAGTTCTAACCCAGAACCATACATTGAGAATTCTGAGAGATGAAATAATGACACTCTGTGAGAAGCCTAGGTAAGAAAGGGGTGGTAAAGGGTTTGAGAAATAACTCCTGGTGAGTATTGAGCCCTGACTCCTATTAATTTCAGCCATGAACATTTACTCCTTTATATGATGTGAGCCAAGAAATCTCTTTGTGTGGTTAAACTCGATGAACTTGGAATGTCTTAACCTTGACATTTGAAGAGATCTAATCAATGCATATATTGCATGGAAAACTGGAGTATTTACTGTGGGATGTAAACTGGGAGAAGGTAATTCATTTAGTAAAAGCAGTGTCTAATACATGTACATCCTCAAAGCAATAAATGAATGAATGAGAGTTTCAAAAATGAGAAACATTATCATATATACATGTTGAAAGTATAAGGTCATTAGGATTGACTTTTCTCCATGAATTCCATTCTCATTAAAAGTGCCTCCAAATGAGTTAGGCATCATTGTAGTTCCCAAATAGACTTTATGGAACAATTTTCCTGCCATTTCTTGTCATCAAAGTGACGATAGAACTTTCCAACACTATAAAGACCAAGACATCTGTGTCCAGTTTATGTATTTATTTTCCTTTAAATGCTCAGCAAAGTGTCTAACGTCATTGTGGGCCAATAATTACAATTAATTAAGGTAAAATTAATCTAATTAAATAATTTGTACTTAAAGCAGATTCCTCTAGTGCTATCAGCTCTGAGATTTCAGGATTATATAGTGCTGGGGGAAAAATGAAGTCCCAGAGATTACTGTATTTTTATATTCATTTATTTTCCTGAATTTAATTTCTCCATTCTTTCACAGTAGTGTTTAGTCAGGATTTTGGGGGGCTCCATAATTAAAAGTGTCTGAAAGCACACTCTCTAGCAGTTCTGACCATCTATGTTTCACTCTGGTGATTTATTAGGGAAAAGAAGAATCTCACAATGAACTCTTTTCAATGATTCAAAGGGAAAACATTTTTCTCAGCACCCCTAGAATGTGCTTCCCAGCTGCTGATTCTGGTTTTGCTGCTTAGGTAACTGCAAGCAGTAGGAAATGCAGGCAGGGCTTTTCCCAGGGAGATGCGTAAAGACTGGCCTGCATGTGAGGAAGCTGAGGAAAATCACAACCATTTTCACCCATATCACACATTCTGCTCTTCACCACAATGTGCCCTGTGTAGTTATTTAAATTGATTTTCTCCAATGTATCAGTTAGCTACATATGCTGAAGACTTGATTAACAGTGGCTTCAACAAGTAGAGGCTTGTTTCTCTTAGATCTCAAGAAGTCTATAGCCAAGGGGCCCACTGACAATTGTTTAGAAGCATAGTTCTAGAAATCCAGATCCTCTTCCTTATGATTCTGTTAACATTTGTCTTACTACAGATACATTAAGGTTTCAAGATGGCTATTATAACTTCGGAGTTCATGTTCACGTCAGGGCAGGGGCTGAGAGGTGGGGAAAACAAGGCCACAATGTCAATTGCATTTATTGGCATTGGTTCTAAGAAGCAAACATCTTCCTAGGACATTCCGCAGACTTCACTTATGTCTCAATGGAAAGACTGTCATGTGGCCACCCCTATGGCACTGGAGGCTGGGGTTCTCTCCGTCAGTTAAAAAGGGAAAATGGACCCTGGGAAGGTAACTAATGACTGGCTATTTTTTCCTAAATAGTTATGAGTTCCTTGAAAGCAGAAACTAAGTTCCATACTTCCTTCACATTATCTTTTTACTTATTTTTTTTCATATCTTCATTTGCCTTTACTGACCATAAGTGGGAGGGAATTGGCCCATGACACCTGATGACTTATTTAAATCAAAAATGAATCAGGTCAGGCTCAGTGCCTCATGCCTATTATCCCAACACTTTGGAAGTCCAAGGGGGAAAGTTTGCTTTTGAAACCAAAAATCCAAGATCAGCCTGTGCAACATAGCAAGACCCCATCTCTAAAATAAACACATACATACATACATACATACATATTCAGGCACTGTAGCTCACAGCTGCAGTCCCAGCTACTCAGGAGGCTAATGCAGGAGGATTGCTTGAGCCCAGGAGTTCGAGGTGGTGGTGAGCTATAGTCATGCCACTACACTCCAGCCTGGGCAACAGAATGGGACCCTTTTTTAAAAAAAAAATCAGCTTACACATAAAGACACCCACACTTATGATGATTTAATGTTTCAAACTGACAATCAGGTACATGTAGATATTGCCCACTACAAGTTTAGTCAAGTAAGCTGGGAAACCTGAAAGAAGCAAATAAAGACAAACAGCAAAAGGCTCAGATCCTACGAAAAATTTGTGAAATTTTAATAAGCATCCAGGCATAGAAAACAAATCTTACCTGAAAGAGGAAAAGAAATATACTGGTAGACATGATTTTAAAGGCAATGGCAGAATGCCAAGGGATTTTTGAGGGATTAAGAAGGGTAGAGCTCCATAAATATTATTTTTCGTGACACTGACAGATATAGAAATATAAGCTTAAATATGTTGCTTAAAATATGAAAGAAGCTACCACAACAACTAAAATATGACATGTAATTTTAAAGCTAGGAAAAAAATAAGGAAAAACAAAATTTAAACAAAAGTAAAATGATAGAAAAGGAAACATCTAGAATAGCATAGAAACAAAAGGCAAAGCACACGTCAGACTTAGACTTCCAATTCAAGTTATTTGTTTCCATCAAGAACAATTAGTAAAGTTGGATAAAATAGGGAAAAAAATCATCTATATAAAGACACGTGTGCTGATGAGGCTATCTGCACTTGAATGTCCAAGAGAAGAGAAAAAGTAGAGAGAATGAGTCAACATTCTGCAAGCCACTTTCCTCCTCAGGGATGTTCCTAACTTTAGAGAGCAAGAGGATAGCAGACTAATCATAAATCCACAGTAAATGACTGATATTTAGCAATCTTACATGATAGAAGAGAGTTGAGGCCCACAAAGGATGGCAGGATATGAAAAGCCAAGATTTCAAAGGAAAGAGAGGTGCAGAGACCCTAGCCCAACACTGGTGGTTCTGAGGCATTTGCTGAATTTCAAGCTGTGCAGGGTAGGAGAGGCTAATCAGAAAAACCACTGAAATCTACAGCTGAGGTTTTGGAAGTATCATCTTACTGAGGAGGCAAAATTGGAGTCCAGGGCCTGCCAAGAATAGAGGTCCTAGTAAACATCGCAGTCTTTCAGCTGGGGACACTAGAGAGCTTACCCTGGGAGCCTGTATGAACCAAAGGTTGACTTGAGTCTTTCAACCCATCTATAATCAGTGTCTGGTTGGAACAAGAGAATAAGCTGATATATTTCCATCTATCCCTAGAGCAGAAGATGAGTCTTCTAATAAAGTCTTCCTAAATAAAGTGTCAAGACTCCAAGAAAGAATTATCAAACCTGCTAGGGTTCTATCTATCTATCTGTTCTATGGTCCACCTGTGTTCCTTATATCTCTTCTCCAAAGGAGTGTGCATTGAAAGATATGTATATTAGCATTTATATCAGTGGTATTTATAACAACCCCAAATTGAAAAAAAAAAAAAACAAACTCGAATGTCCATCAATAGTAGAATGGATCAAAATGCTTTGTGAGAGTTATACAATCAAACACTATCCAACAATGAAACTACAAACTTGCTCTAGCAATACCATGGATGAATGGCACAAAAAAAATAAATAAAAGAAGCCTGATACAATTATATACTGTATGATTTCTTTTATATAAACTTCAAAAACAAGGAAAGTAATCTATGGTAATAGTAGTCTGAATGACTACCTTCAGGTGATGTAATGACTGGGATGTGGCCTGAGGGTAGTTGCATTAAGTAATATATCTTAATCCAGATGACAGTTACATGAGTATAATTCACTTTGAAATATATCATGAGTTTTGTAGTAATGACTCTACAATTTTCTGTGTATTTTTTAGTAGTTAAGAAAAGGTTGAACAAATAAAACAACCACATATATTATTAAAATAAATGAAAACAGGTTGAATCCTCCTAATTAAGACCAACACTGGGACTAAAAAAAAGTTTAATTTATAACTTTTGCAAGAAATACAAATTACACAGAAGGATAATAATAGACAGGCAGATAATGAGAAGTGCATAAGTATACATCACAGATATAGCAGAGATGGTAATATTAAAAACAAAAGTAAAATCATGCAGCAAACATTAACTCTGAAAAAGGAAATGATTTACTAAATGGGATAATTTACAATAAAGACACATCTGTCATAGATCTTGGTTCTGAATTCACTAACTCCAAAGTGTATAAGAAAAGACATAGGAATACAACCAGTTAAAATGAAAAAGAACCATGGTCTTGGGGTAGATTGATATATATTGTTACATTTTTGCAGTTCAATTAGATCAAAATGATAGATATAGTATTAGAATAACACAATTAACATATTAAATCAAGTAGATGATATAAGATGTCTTTTATATAGAACTTTCCTAACAGTGTTCCAATACCCTTGCAAACAAAATATCGTAGCCATAATCATAAATTCTCTATTCACAATGTAATAAAACCAAAAATTTATAGCAAAATGATTAAAAAAACTAATCACTTGGAAATAAAAACAAAATCCTCTGCTAAATAATCTGTAGATCAGAAAATAAATCAAAACTCTGTTACAAGTTATTAAAATTAACTACAATAAGATTGTTATGTATCGCAGTAATCTCATTGTAGCTATTTAGTCACTTACAGGTGTAGTAGAAGCTTTACAAAGAGCAAACTTCATTTACTTAATTATATTTTTCATTAAATAAGAAAGAATACAACTAAATGAAATAAATATTCAACTCCAGAAACTAGAAACTTCCCATCAAAATAAACTTAATAAATTAGTAAATATTAAATTAGAAAATAGTGAAAGTTTCAAAGGCATCTGAAAGCTTTTTAAACAAAATATTAATAATATGTATCCAAACATATCAAGTATATTAATGAAAGGCAAGGAAAAGCAAAATGTAAATTTACAACATAATGAATACTAAAGGGCTCAAAAATCATAGTCATCCGAGACTGCCTGATAATGCTGCCTTTTCGCAGAATTGTAAAGAGCTCTTTTTTCCTTCCTTCAACCTGATCAAAGTATGCTATACATAGTGGAATCTTTTTTAAGTTACCTGGAGATCACCCCTCCGAATGTACAGTGCTGCCGCAGATTTTTCCCCATGGTTATGTTTTCTATTAATAATTTCATCAGACAGGTTTTCTTGTTTATTGTTGTTTTTACCATTGCAAGACCTTTTACCCTTTCTCTTTGTTAGTTTCCAAAGAAAGTTAAAAGCCTAAGGGACAACAGCAGTGTGAACAACTTGTTCCTTTACTATAAGTTGAGCATGCACCTTATACAACACAGTACTGCCTAAGACAGGTCTGCAGCATTGGCTTAATCTCAAGGCTTGGCTCAGTCCTTCACCTGAAGGCCCCTACCTTACCACCTCAGGCCATCTCCTGGGAAGCAGGGATCCCAACACCTCATGAAGAAAGGATAAAAGAAAACAAAAGAGCTATTTATTCAAATCTTGAGCCTTGAGCTAAACATGTAAAGAGGATGAGGCACCTGCACATGTACCCTTTCAATGCACATTGATCTTGCCTATTAGTAAATGAAGATTTTCTAGCATCCTGGAAACTGAACCATCAGATAAGCCAGGAGTCTCCAACCCCAGGCCAAGAACTGGTACTGTGGCCTGTTAAGAACTGGGCCACATAGCAGGAGGTGAGCAGCAGGTAAGCAAGCATTACTGCCTGAGCTTTGCCCCCCTGTCAGATCAGAGTCAGCATAAGGAGCATGAACCCTATTGTGAGCTGCACATCTAATGCCCTGATGATCTGAGGCGGAACAGTTCCATTCCAAAACCATACCTGCCCCAACCCCCAACCCATGTACCCGTCCCTGGTGCCAAAATGGTTGGGAACCATTGAAATAAACAACCCCAGCTGGAGAGGACAGAATGGCAAGGGAAGGAGAAAGCTGCTTTCAGCTACACAATTGTTTTCCCCAGAGGAGAGTGGTCTCAGGCAGGAAAGGCTTCACACAGGCTGAGTAATAAACACACAGCACCTGACCTCAGTGTCAAGGGACTCAAGAGCAGAATGAAACACTGCTCGTGGCAGGGTTAAAGATGTGGATGTAAATTTTCATTTCCTCCTCCTGATAACAGGGTGTGAATAATCAACGTGAGTTTGCTACCACATATAAATGGTTCCTAATGATTGTTTAAATAAGGGCAGCTCTGCTGTTAGCGCACATTATAAAAGCAAAGTTCCTCGGAATAGACCGTGCCTTGAGAACAATATTTTTCTAATTCTTGATACAGAATGGTGAGTTGAACAAACTGTATTTTTATACATCACTGTGAAAACAATTAGTTCTTTTCAGTAAATAAAAAGGCATCTCCAAAGGAAATTCTTTAGAAAATAGTTCATCAACTAAAGCCTAAGGGAATTGAAAGGAAAATAACTGTTGCAGAGGATTTAGAAACTTTTTTTTCTCACCTTCAATTAGAAAAACAATATATTTAACCCCTAGTCTTTACCACTTTGTGGGGCGAGATCATTGCTTTTCTTCTCGATTCTATTCCCCAGCGATTTACTGGGACACCAAGTGCTGAAATTACAAAGATGAATGAAAACCCTGAAGTTTGTCAGAGATAGATCTATAAGCATGTGTAATTCATCTTGCAGTTTCTTCTACTGAGACTTTATTGCAGGGATTTAAAAATATCAGTGAGAATTCTGGCATGTGGAGTCATCAACCAGTAATAACTTTGCATCAAATTCCCCAATGGTCTTTCTGATTGGCAGGTATGCCCAGGCTAAGAAGTAACATTTCCTCCTTCTTAGACTGGTTCTGCCCTCTACATAAAGGAGGCAGCAGCTCTAATGAAAACTCTTAAAGGTAATAGATCTTAATGTACATTCAGTGCCATGTCAATGGCAGATCTCTGCACTATAGATAACAAGTTATAAAGGACTCCCTGGCCGTCTAAAGTTGCTAAACGCAGAGTATAAAATTTCAAGACTAAGTGGAACTTCATAACTATCCTATTTAGTGTTACTTCATTATGTGAAAAGAAACTAAAATTAAAGAAATGTAGATAGTTTGACGAATGCCACCAAATATAAATGGAACTTTCAGAATTCTTGATGCACAACAGTTACTCATTTATTGTGTCAATATCTTTATGATGCTCAACATGATTATTTTATTAATTAGATATATCATGATCCTTTACTTAATTATTGCTTAAAAAATCTTTGACAGTCCCTGAAGCACAGGAGATGCGTGAGAGAACATGAGAAAGATATTGTCTGGATTTTCAAAAGCAGGTAGAAGATATACTGTGGAAATATCTAACTGACAAGTTTTGGCTGATGGCTTCAACATCATGAAGAGTAAGGTGGCAGTGATTGTTGGTGAATAATGTGAGGAAAAACATCACATCACATCACACTAACTTTGTTTTCTCATTACCCAGATGAAGGCTGTTGAAGTAAGTTTATCCTGGCTTTAGAAAAGCCTTGAAAATGATTTTTCATTGATGCTATGAAAAGAATGCTAGCCAGAGCACACCCATGTTAGTGAACTGTTTATGTAACCACTTGAACAGTATGTCTAAAGTGAGATAACTCATTGGCTTCTTGTCAGCCTGGACAAAACTTCCAGGGGTGCCACTCTGGATTCCTCCCTTGGCTTTATTTAGGTCAATATTTTTAGTTCATTAACTGACCAAGAAAGAGTAGAATATGTATTTGTCAAATGGAACTCTTGGTAAAGTTGGAAAGGAGAACTAAGTATCATAAACGGCAAAATCAAGGTTCAAAATTATCATGAATATTTGTAATGCGAATATAATGAAATCTGACAGTTACAAATGCATGAAGTTCCATATTTAGGGTCAAAAAATTTGTTTCCATCAATAAAGAATGAGGGAGAACATCAATTTTTGAAAGTTTTATTTTTAAAACAGGCTCAATATGAGCCTGTGATCTCATACACCTATTGCATTCTAAGACTGAATTTGCATGAATTTAGAGATAAGTTTACTGAGTCACAGTCTTAAGTTTAACCCTGCACCGGGAATTTTGGACTTTCAATTTCATAATTTTACAAGAATGTTGGTCAGTTAAGAAGCATGGAGCAGAGAAGGAAGGGGGCAGGGAGATCTGGAAAGGTCAATGATGTCAATGAGTCTGGAGAATCATATAAACAAATTGTGGTTGAAGGAAACCCAGTCACTCATCAAAAATTCCTTCACATTCTAAGTACTTTTTACTTATGATTTTATGAAATCATAAAAATCTAGAGGAATGAGCCTCAGTTTTTTCCCTGAAGAGCAGTTGCATAGGAAGAAATACAAATACTTCTAATATTATGTATCAGGATGGAACAGTCTATGGAGCACCGTGGGGGCAGAGACAGCAATGATTTTTCATAGGGAGAGGAGCAGGTAAGGGAACTGGGATGGTTTAAAATTTGGAATATTTAGCTTGGAAAATAAAGCAAAGGAAAAGAGCTATCTAAATAAGCTTGATAATGCCTTTGCCAGCTTACAAATATGCCACATTCATTTCACTTCTATGTATCTTTCCTGTTACCCCTGCTGTGATTTTGCTGGTCCTAAATTCTACCCACCCTTCAAGACTTTGTTGCAAATCAAGCAGTCTCATTTTGCCAACCACAGGGTTACGTCTGTCTAAACTGTCCCCAAGAGCAGTTATTTCCATCACACCTGTGTCATTTGTAACATTATCAAATGCTTCTATCATGACTGATGCACTGGAGCAGCTATTTTCTTCCCTTTACAGCAGGGGCAAAACATCTTTTTTTTCTGGTTTTTGACCATGCTTTGTACCATGCTGAGCACACACAGGCTCAATAAATACTTTGGAGACAGTCAATTAGCCCTTTTTCTTTAATAAAGAACAGGTTCTAGTCCCCTGACTATGTGAGCTGACAGAAGTCCCTTTTTTTTTTGTCTCTTGTTTTCTCTATCTATGAAGGTAGAATTCTTCAACCTGAACTTCCAGCCCTTTGTGGATAGAGTGAGAAGGCACTGCACATCTCCGGTGAGGCTGTCAGGTTAAAGTTCGCAGGCCCCAGAGGTGGTCCTGGATCCAGTACAGCCTCTGTTCCAGTTGTAATGATTTTGTTCATAAAGATTTGAGTCACAGGAAAAACTAGTATCTTTATGTCTTCATATGCTGAAACGTGTCAAGGTATCTTGCTTTATCTTTCTGATTTCTGATTTTTTATTTTATCTATTACAAAGCTGCTAAAAGCCTCAGGCAGGGGCAGTGGTTCTTTGGGCTCAGTGGTGCACATCCCAGTGACGTCTTTCTTTCTGAAAACCAATTTTTCCTGTCAAATATGCCTTCATCTTGTTACAAATAAGGCTCATGGATCAGCCCTGCCCAGGGAACCATCAGCATGCTGGTGATTGCTTTGAAAGCAGTATTATACTAATACAGTATCTCATTAGAACACCTTTGCTGGGAGCTGGGGGTTTCCTCCCAATCCAAATGGAGATTGTGGTGTTCATTATGTGTTCAGAAGCACTGCTTCTCTGTACCATAAAATAGCCTGAGGGAGAATCTTTTGACCTTTGTAATTTCTTCAATATTATGTAGGGTTCTTTTCTCCATTTCAACAGAGCAATAACTATTGCAGACCTGTACATTATTTTATCCTAACATGCAATTAAAATACAGAAAAAAAAAGTCTTCTGAAGACATTTCAGTGGTGCCACGCCATCCAACTCTGGGAGGGGCATACATGAGGGAATTGTGCTGCAGGTGGGAAGATTCAGAATCCATTTGGGATAATTTCCAGCAACTGGCTCAGGGCCTCAGGTTGCAGAATTAGCTCATCCAGGGCTTCAGCTCCTGGCTTCAGACTCATTAAGACTGTCTTGTCAGGGTAGGTATGTGATCAGTTTCTAGACTGCAAACTAAGCCCAATAAATTGCTGAACTCGGCTTAAAAAGTTAATTACCAAATCTGGTACATTTGGTGCAGAAAAAGGACAGAAACTACAAATTAATGTGCAGACAAGCAGTTTTTTAAGAAAATTACCTTCAAAAATATAAATATTCCACTGCTACTGCTTGAGCCTGAGCAAGCAGCCCTGATTCACCTCTGAGTTCCTGTTTTCTTTTCTATCTGCCAACTTATTTCCTTGTTCTGTTTTCATAGAGGTGCCTGCAGGGATGTGTTTCAAAACTGTATCAAACACAATGCACAAGGTGTGAGTGAATTTTCCAGGCACCTTAAAAATGCCCACATTTAAGCTAAATATGATGGGCTTGTTGGTAGGAATATTCATTGGGTCCCACTTTATATGTTTTCTTAAACGGTTATTCTTTTTATGGAGAATATTCCTTGATGTATTTTGGATTTTTTTTTCCAACTAGTGGTATAAAAAGTAATTGCTGTAGTGTCCATAGTGGGTCACACCATGAATCTGTGTATGGTATATTAGGAGCTGTGACAGGAAGCAATGAGGCCAAGAGCACAGCTATTCTGCACTGGGAACAATTTAGGAGGCTGGCTGGGCAATCCCCACCGGCTGCCTCTCTCCCACTCTGTTCCCTTTGGCCATGGTTCAGGTTTGGTATAGTAGAGTGAAGAAGGGGGCCCTCATCTATTTGTTTCCATCTTCTTTGTCTTCATGGCTTGAACATAAATACGATTTCCTTAACCAGATATGTTTGAACAATCCCAGGCTTCCAGGGCCAGGTTCAAACATACTACGAAAAAGGGGCTGAGCAAGGTGCTGTAGAGAATAAACTCTGTAAAAGTAGATACCTGCCTTTCTAGTCTTTACCCCTATGGTGCCTAGCATAGTGCCCGGAATAAAAAATCACAGCTGTCACTTAGTTCTTACTGAATTAAGAGGGAATCGTGAAGAAGAGAACGCGTGATCTACTTAGAATTTCACAGTCTAAAGAGACCCTGTGCTCAAAGGCTGGTGTGTAGAAGTGTAATATCTTAAAAGAAGTATGTGCAAGTGCTTTGGGATCACCAAGAATGGAATGCCTGCTGGATGTGGTAGTGTTTCGATAAATGTTGAAGAAACAGTCTGAGCAGTTTTACACTCCCAATATTTCATGCAGAATACTTTCCGGAAAGATACTCTGTTCTTTATTTCTCCAGCCAAAAAGAACTAGCATTTCCAGAGTGCTTGCTGGGAGACAGGTGCATGCTAGGTGCTCCAACTTAGTGTATCCAATCCTCCAAGCAGTTTTGTTATATAAATATATTATACATAAATATAGTTGTACCAATATAACAGATGTAGAAATGGAGGCTCAAGAAATAAAGGTCATTTTTCAAATGTTTAATAGTAAGAAGAAGAACACTAAGGCTTTGAATCTAAATACGTCTTAAACATAAAACCCGTGACACATCCATACCACCATGCTATAAAACTAGGGAAGAGGAGAAATAAAATTCTGACTTTTTTGCTAGGAAGAAAAACTGTATATGATTAATTGCTCCAGCTCCTGATTCTTCAAGTGGTTAGTTTATTACTTTGATGCCTTTCTATCAATACCTCATAACTTTTATTTATTAAAAATCAGAGAAAAAAGAAAATTCACATAACCAGTCACCACCACCACCTCCTGTCCTCTTCAATTTATCTTGGAAAACTTTTGCAGTTGGCTAATGGTTACGCCACCAACAGAATAACTTCTCTCTCTTTCCTCATTAAACTAAAGAGAAAAAAAAATAAATGGATACAGCATTATCTTTGTTGACTGGTAGCTCATTACAGAGGCTAATAAGATAAAATACATTCTCATATACTGATCATTGGAGCTCAGAGAATTTGAAGAGAGCCACCTGCTGAGTAAAGTATCCATTTTCACTTCTAACTTTGTATGTATTAGTCCGGTCAATTTCCCCAAGCTGGCCAGATTAGGAAAGTTTTATTAAAATAAATGGAGATGAGATTTAAAGTTAGCAGAGAAAAACAGAAGCTGAGCCTGAGCCCCCCACCACCCCGGCTCCCCCAAACACACACACACACACTCTTTGCCTTTGACCAGGTGTTGTGACCACTTGGTGGAGGTGTGTGGCAGAGACTTCAGTGTATTCTCTAAAACCAGGCTTTCTTTCTTGGACACAGCTAGGCTACGTTTCCCAGCCTTCCCTGCAAACAGCTTCCGTCTTCCATTTTTCATCTCTCTCAGAAAAATGTATGCTATTTTGAGATGTAAGCAATAAAACATGTATAATTTATATCTGACATGAATTTCTCTCCCTCTCTCTCTCTTTCCCTCCTTCCCTGTCTCTCCCCCTCTCTCTATCTGCTTCATAATCTATACTAATTATTTAGCTCATGGTGACATAAAAACCACATATTAAATATGTAGACTTTTTTAGACTGGGTTCCTGAATGACTTCATAAGCATCACTGCATCGCATGGCCAAATAAATTCACCGATTGAATTTTAAATGAGAAGTAAATGTGTATGCATTAAGTGCCTGAGATTTCAAGAACTGTCTATTACCATAGATAATGCTAATTTAACTAAGATATACCACTTAATAGATTTTTAGCTATAGAACGGATACATGTAGTTTTTTCCTTTTTAGAAAAAGACTTAGAAAAATCCTATTATCACATTTGAGAGTACTTGCATCAAAATCTTGATATAAATATATCTATTTAGATATCTATCAAAAGATGTACAGATAGATAGAAATATAGACGTGTTCCCTAACAAAGAGAAATTGGCATCTGTACTCAAATTTGGCACAGACTTATTATGTGATAACATAATAGGTTCCCATAGAGCTTTTATGAACTTACTTGAACTGAAAACTTAACCAAATTCAATACAGATGGTTGGAAGTTATAACTGCAAATCATTTAATATCACATCAATAAAAACTTCCAGATGTAATCTAATTGATAAACAGAGAAATACAAAAGACGGACTAAGTAAGAAAAATAAGAGAAGACAAAGAAGGTCACTTTATAGTTGTTTTTGTGAAATTCTCCATGCAAGTTTTATCTGGAAGATCTAAGTACCAATCTCTTAGATTCAAGTAGTTAGGATGAAGTCAAGAAGAAAAAATTCGGAATTTGATAAGAAGTGCCATTGTAGATTCTAAGCTCCTTGTAGAAAATAAATCTCTCAAGAACCAGAGTATGTTCAGTTCAATAAAAAGTTTGAAGAGATGACAATGAATAAGCCATTTTGCTAAATTAAAATATAAGTAACAGATAAGGTGTAATAGGAGAGCTTCATAATCCAAAGGCAAGACAATTTCAATACTGTGTGGTAAATCCCAATAGAGGCATACACAGTGTACAACAGAAATTTGGATAGATCACAGGAATATTATTAGAGGAGATGATAACGTAGCTGGACCTTGAAAGGAAATAACTTCTGTTTTCTGAAAACAATGGTAGAGAGACACAGACCGGGTCTCTTTTTCTATCCCGTTCTGCTCCAAACCCCTTTTATGTCAGAAGAGTTGCATACACAAATTTTGTATAATTCTTATTAAGAATAAATCTATAAAAAAGACTGAAAACATTAAAAAGTGCTCCCAATCAGATGAAGGATGGGGAGTTCCTGAATGATAAAAATCAAATCATATCAGATCTATAGAGAAACATCATAGGCAATGACAGTTCAAAACGCATTCCCAACAATAAGAGCTGTTGATGTAGTGACAGTGAATGGAATGGAGTGTGTTGAGCTACAAATAAGGGCATTGAAAACAGTTTTATCATCAACTCACTTACAATAGTGTCTGGATATGGGCCATTCTAAGGTTTGTTCTGTGGGTTCACTACAGCATCAAGGACCTTCAAGCTCTTGCTGCATTACTTCTCTGCTAACATCTTCATCTTATCAAGGTCATTGAAAATTTCTTATAACTCCAAACACCATCTCCTCACATAAAACCCCCGAGGCAGGAGAAAAAGGAAGCAGGGAGGAAAGATCTTCTTCTTACATAGCTCTTTCTTTTATAAGGGAGGAAGGAGAAAAATCTTCCCATAAAACCTCAGCATACTTCTTAGTACTTATGTCCTTTACAGCCAGATTCACACGACATGTTCACTTCTTGACCAAGCACAGACAAAGACAATAGAGCCTGTCACGAAGAAGTAAACAAATAATCATTCACACTCTGGGGCTAGATACAGCACCTCCTCAAAAATGAAGTTTCTCATAGTAAGAAATAAAGGGCTGATGGTGGATAACTAATTGCGCCAGGCACATGGGACTCAAACTTAGATTCAAGTAACAGAAGGAGCTGGACATGATCTAGCAATAATTGTCAGGAAGGTTGTTATTAGAACTTCATTGAAATAATGAGGTTCATGTATCCTTTCCATTTCTCCAGCTTGTGCTTAACAGTGGTCATTGCTTGTGCTTGAAACCAGATAAGCCAGATAAGTAATTGGACTGGTAGAATATGCCCCAGATGGTTTCCTAATCCAAGAAGAAGTACAGCGAATATCAAGCCCATATTAGAAATTGTCAGCAAATTCCACACATCAGCATGTCCTTTCCCATTGAACATAACGAAAGGAAAACTCCTAGAATCAGAACTTCCATTTACAAGGAGGTAATCAGAGATCCTCAACAAAAAAATATGGTTAAAGAATCATGGAAGAGAAACACCAAGCTAAACCCAATGAACTGAAAACTAGGTTGAAGAGTACAAGCATCAGGTAAGCACAAAATAAGTAAAAGTGTTATTGTCAAAGAACCTCAAATAACTATTATATTTATAAAATGATTACAGGCTTCTAGAAAAACCAAAATGAAAAACACAATCAGTTAGAAATATTGAAAATGAAAATCAAGACAACTGTAAGGGCAAATACAAATTAATACAAAGAGGCTTAATTCTCCCTGTTGAAAATAAAGGAATAGACTCCCCCTTTCCATTTATTAGAGCATTTACTTTAGAAAACTTTACTTGCAAGTGATTACTCTGTCTTTTTGAAATGTGTGTAAATCTTTCTAAAAGGCAAATAAGTTTATTTCCAGCCTTACAACCTAGGAATATCTGTATCAAGTACCTAGGAGCCATTTTTTTTTAAATGGAATCATCCAGAGAAATAGTGCCGCTTCTCCTGTTTTCTGTGGAAGAGTAAGAGTATAACTTAGGTAGGCCGAGTTCCACCAAGTTGCATGATGACCTTCTGTCATACAGACATGAAAAGTGTATTTTTTTCTTTGCATAACATACCTAGTCAACAAAACTACCAAGTGAATTTAACCTGAAGTACGTGTGACAAATGGTGCTATCAAATCTTCTTACTTGAGGACTAGTTATTGTTTATCTTAAGAACTCATACGTAATGTATTGTATCTTCTGGGCTGTATAAAATGGTAAGATTTCTTTTTGTCTTTGTTTTTGGAGACCTTAGAATATTGTCTGTAACACAAATCACATTCTGATTTAATGCTTATTCAATAATTAAACTGATATCTTTCTCTTCTATTTTTGTGGAGAGGTTTTCTGGGGTGACAGGAGTTTTTAATTATATTTCTCCAACACAACTAAGGAACAAATTATGGAGTTAGAAGAAGGAGCAGAGAAATTCCCCCAGAAGGCAGCATGTTAAACAAACTATATGACAAAAACTTAATTGACATAGAAGATATATATAAAATTTCTATGATATATTTAATATGATTTCCAGAAAATAACAACTGTAAGTGATATATAATAAAGATAAAAGCAAAAACTTTTCAAAATTGAAAGAAAATATAAACTTTTGAATTGAAAAAAATACTTAGTTCCAAGAAGAAAAAATTGGGGAAAAAAAGGCAAGACCATACTTAAACATACTGAATTTTTTTTTTTTTAATATGGAGTCTTGCTCTGTCACCCATGCTGGAGTGCAATAGCATGATCTTGGCTCACTGCAACCTCCGCCTCCCAAGTTCAAGTGATTCTCCTCCCTCAGACTCCCGAGTAGCTGGGACTACAGGCACACACCACCATGCCCCGCTAATTTTTGTACTTTTAGTAGAAATGAGGTTTCACCATCTTGGCCAGGCTGGTCTTGAACTCCTGACCTCAGGTGATCCACTCACCTTGGCCTCCTAAAGTGCTGGGATTACAGGCCTGAGCCACCGTGCCCAGAAGTTAAATTTTAGAACATTAATCAAAGGATAAGGCCTAAAACATGTTTGTAGAGAAAAGGATTAGCATTCAAGTTGAAAAGATAAAGCAAATAATTATTAGCATTACAGTTATTGGAAGTTTTTTGAGTCATCTCTATAAAAATGGAAGAGAAAATGATCTCAAACCTAAAATTTTAGACCTAGGCCAAAAGAACTTGAGAAAGAACCAAACCCAGACATTTTGTGTGTGTGTGTGGTCATAAAAGGTTTTTACCTACACATACTCTCTAAAAACATTGATTGGGCAGACAGATATACCTCATTTTGTTATACTTCATTTGATTTTGCTTGCAGATTTTGCATTTTTTTAAATAAATTGAAGGTTTATGGCAACTTGTGTCCAGTAAGTCCATAGGTCCCACTCTTCCAAGACCATGTGCTCACCTCATGTCTCTGCGTCACATTTTGGTAATTCTAGCAATATTTCAAACTTTTTCATTATCACTTGTGATCAGTAATCTTTGATGTTACTATTATAATTGTTTTGGGTCACCATGAACCACATCCATATAAGACAGTGAACTTAACACATAGATGTATGTGTTCTAACTGTTCCACCAATGGCCATTTCTCTGTCTCTTTCCCTCTCCTCAGGTATCCCTATTCCCTGAGACAACAATATTAAAATTAGGCCAATTAATAACCCTACAATGGCCTCTACGTGTACAAGTGAAAGAGTCACACATTTCTTGCTTCAAATCAAAAGCAAAAAATGATTAAGCTTAATGAGGAAGACATGTTGAAAGGTGATACAGGCTGAAAGCTAGGATTCTTGTACCAAATATTTAGGTGAACTGTGAATGCAAAGAACACAATCTTGAGAAAATTTAAAAGAGCTACTCCAGTGAACGCACACATAATAAGAAAACAAAATAGCCTTGTTGCTGATATGGAAAGTTTTAATGATCTGGATAGAAGATCAAACCAGCCCCAAGATTTCCTTAAGCCCAAGCCTAATCTAGATGAAAGCCCTAACTATCTTCAATTATATGAAGATAAGAAGGAGGAAGCTGCAGAAGAAATGCCTGAAGCTAACAGTGGCTGGTTCACAAGGTTTAAGAAAAGAAGCCATCTCCATAACAAGAAACTGCAAGGTGAATCAGCAAGTGCTGATACAGAAGCAGCATCAAGTTACCCAGAATATCTAGCTAAGACTAATGATCAAAGTGGCTGCACTAAACAGTAGATTTTCCATGCAGATGAAGCAGCCTTCTGTTGGAAAAGATGCCATCTAGGACTTTCCTAGCTAAAAAGGAGAAGTCAATGCCTGGCTTCACCAAACAAGCTTACTCTCTTTTTAGAGGCCAGTGCAGCTGGTGAGCTGGTGACTTTAAATTGAAGCCAGTGTTCATTTGTCATTCTGAACATCTTAGGGTCCTTAAGAAGTATGCTAAATCTACTCTGCCTGTGCTCTAAAAATGGAACGACAAAGCCTGAGCAACAGCACATTTTTTTAGAGCATGTTTTACTGATCATTTTAAGTCCAATGTTGAGAGCTACCAGTCAGAAAATAATATTCCCTTTAGTTTATTACTTCTCATTGACAATGGACCTAATAAACCAAGAGCTCTGATTGAAAAGTGCAAGTAGATTGATGTTATTTTCATGCCTGCTAACAAAACATTTATTCTGTAACTATGTATCAATAAGTAATTTTGACTTTCAAGTCTTGTTATTTAAGAAACACATTTTGTAAGACCATAACTGCCATTGATAGTGATTCCTTTCATGGATCTAGGCAAAGCAAATTGAAAACCTTCTGTAAAGAATTTACCATTCAAGATGTCATTAGAAACATTTATAACTCATAAGAAGAAGTCAAAATGTCAACATTAACAGGAGTTTGTGATACAGACAGGAGGCAGTGAAATACTGGATAGAAGAGGGTGGTTCCCTGGCAAAGGCCCTACCCTCAAGCCTGGAAACCTTTGGCCCCGAGAACAGGCATTCCTGTTTTAGCACCCAAAGGTTGCCTTTTCTTAGACCACTCTGGCCTGCCACACCCCTATGCTGTGCCCACATAAACCCCAAGCTCCACGAGCAGAGGTACAGAAGAGCAGAGGAGCTGCAGAGTGGCATGTCAGAGAAGGAGAGAAGAGAAGGAGCACCTGAACATCGAGAGGAGTTCGGCTGGGGATGGTCTGAGAGGAGACTGGATGCGGGACGGCTGAACTCCAAGGGGAGATCATCGTTCCACTCCAACCCTGTTCCAGCTCCCCATCCATCCCACTGAGAAACACCTTCATCACTCAGTGAAATCTCAGCATTCACCATCCTTTAAGTCCAGGTGACCTAATTCTTCCTGGATGCCGGACAAGGACCTGAATATCTAGAGGGCAGGGTGTAAAAGGCTGTCATCCTGACTCTCCACTGAGCTGGTTTAACATTTAGCCATCTGCAAATGGCAACTGCTGAAAGAAAACTAATTGCAACACACCGCTAGACTCTACTACGGGGCCAGAGCTCAAAAGCACTTGCCCTGGCTCCTGCACCGGGCTGTCTTCATGTTCCCCCTGCCATAAGGGGTTTGAGGAAGCAGAGCAAATGAGCCTCACTCCTGTTAGAAGTCCCATGAGGAGGTCAGGGAACTTTCCAGTTTCATTTGGAAGAAGCTAATTCCAACTTCATAGATGATTTTGAGAGGTTCAAGATTTCAGTGGAAAAAACTAATTGCAGATGTGGGAGAAATAGCAAGAGAACTAGAATTAGAAGTGGAGCATGGAGAACTGACTGGGTTGCTGCAACCTCATAATAAAATTGAATGAATGAAAAGTTGCTTCTAAGAAATGAACAAAGAAAGTTTCTTGAGGTGGAATCTACTTTTGGTGAACATGCTGTGAACATTGTTGAAATGACAACAAAGGTATTAGAACATTCCACAAACAGTCAATAAAGCAGCAGCAGGGTTCGAGAAGACTGATTCCAATTTTGAAAGACGTTCTCCTGTGGGTAAAATGCTATCAAATAGCAGTACATGCTACACAGAAATCTTTTGTGATAGGAAGAGTCAATTGATGTGGCAAACCTCATTGCTCTCATCTTTTCAAAAGTTGCCACAGCCACTCCAGCCTTCAGCAACCATTACCCTGATCAGTCAGCAGACATCAGTATGGAGGCAAGACTTTCCACCAGCCAAAAGATTGGGACTCACTAAAGGCTCAGATGACTGTTAGCATTTTTTAGCAATAAAGTATTTAAGTTAAGATATGTACATTGGTTTTTTGCCATAGTGCTATTTCACACTTAATTAACTGCAGGATAGTGTAAACATAACTTTTGAATGCACTGGGAAACCAAAAAATTCACACGACACTTTATGATACTATTCGCTTTATTGTGGTGGTCTGAACCTTAACCCACAACATCTCTGAGGCATGCCTGTATATTGTATATTCTATTAAAATTAAAAATAAATTGAAGAATAAGAAAATATGAGATATAAGAGTAAAGACACTAATAACACAGTAAAGCTTTGTGATATATAAAAAGATTGAAATAACATGCCAAATAATCTTAACATAGGAAGTTATCAGGGAAGGAAATAAGAGGTAATTATAAGCACTTGAAGCCTTTATCTAGGAGTATGTCTAAAAATTGACCTTAGATCAATGTTTAAGAAATATAAGATGAAAAATGTATGTTAAATGTTTATGATAAGCACTATAGGGATAATTAGTATGTTAAGTTGCCAGAAAAATTATGTTGATCTGAAAAAAAAGAGAAAAGAAGAGCGGAAAGAAGAAATTAACAACATAACAAAAAAGAGTAAATTGAAATAAAAAAATGATAAACATAAACTATATTCACAGGTTTAAATCGATTATTTTTTTTTCTTAAACAGAGAACCACAGTCAAAGTAAGAAAAAACATGTATTCCAATTACAGGGGTGATGCCTAAAACAATGTGTCAGTATGTGAAAATAAATGCAAAAAAAAGCTACAACAGGAAAAGACAAGCAGGAAGAAAAAAAAAGGCATACAGATACAGATTTTACTACAAAAATAAAATTTAAAGTGAAAAGCAACAAACAAAAATGATTTAAATGTATTCAAGAAGGATAAAACTAAATAGAAAAATACATAAAATATTCTAAAGATGTCAACTATATGTCTAAAATGTTACTAAGTGTATATCTGCTGCTGGGTTCTGCCAAATTTTTAGGCAACAGTGTATTACTATGTAATACAAGTTAGGTTCTAAATCCTCATCCAATTATCCAGTTAATTCCTGGGTAATACAGTGATGGAAAGCCTCCCAATTTAGGTTATAAGACTGGCAAAACTATGATGTTGAAACAGTAAGGGTAGTACCAAAAGTTAAAACTCTAATCTACTATCGCTTAAAAATGTAGATGAAAAAAATGTTACATACAATAGTACTGGACAGAATTTGGCAGTAAAATAAATGTATAAAGGAATAAAGCATAAAGAATAACACATTGAGACCAAGTGCGTTCAACTCAAGAATATAAGTACTGGTCAATATTAGGATTGAAAAAACAACCACCACCTAAATGTGGCTAATCATTACAGGAAGTAACCATTGCAGTGATACAGGCCAAAAAATAAGAGAAAGATCGTACACAATGTAGATGCAAGCTGAGGGAGTTCACAGGAAAAAAAAAACAAAAAACAAAACACCAGAGCACACATAGAGGATGTACCCTTGGGTTGGAAGAGAAGCTCATTCTCTAAAACTGTAGGGAAGAAGTAACTGTGATGGGAATATGGGTAAGTTTAAATACACTGTAGAAGGGCTGAAAGTTGAGGGTAATCATGCAAAAGCTATTCAACCACCTTCCCCAAATTAAAAATAGATTTTGCACTACAAGTTCTGGGCTTGTGGTTTGAGTGGGTTATTGAGTGGGTTTGAGTGAGTTGAGTGTGGTTTATCATTCCCCTCAAGTAGTAAACATTTAAAGATTGCTTTTAGGGAAATGGAAAAGGAAGCCAACAGCTGCAAAGTAAAAGGCCAGTCAGAATTACTGAAGTTCCTGCTGGAATTGGAGGATTAATTAATATGGTCATTATTAGTATTAATCAGAAGAGTTGCAAAACTTGCTTGTTTTTAAAGCCATGTGACCGATGTTATTGTTCTAGAGGTGAAAGTGTAATTATTCTTTAGCTTTATTCTCTGATTAGGAAAAATGTTTTCACGGGCCTTTTCTATGTGAAAGAATGGCTCTAAAACAACACAGATGAAAAAAATAAAAAAGTGAAAGAGAAAATGCTCTAAACATCATACTTGCTTCAAGGTGTGGAGCTATGGATTTGGGATATTCCGCAAGAGAGGACCCTGGGATTTGGCCATGAGTGACCAAGAAAGGAGCTGTAATCTGAGGGAGGAGCATGGTTAAGCGCAACTCTGTGTTCTGTGTCATAAAAATGACAGTCGAGGTTTCTGTGAAGAGGACTGGATGGCAAATTTTAGGAGCTGTCATATCTAATGATGTCTATTTTTAATATCTTTTCTGCATTCTGATTCCCTTTTTTATCTTCATACCTTAGAAATTAACAATAACAACTTTTATTCATGATGCTTTGGAAGGAAGTTGTCATACGCCTCTTCAAGTATTGGGACCAAAGTAGATTAGAACAAGTTCAGAGACCACCAGGTAATCAGGAGAAAGAAAGAACATCAGGCAAGAGCAAAAGGTGGCAGGTAGCACCCCAGACATGTTAGTTTCCCCTCAAAGATGCCTAGAAATGCTAATGGAGACATAATAATTTTAATAATACAATAATTTTCTGGACATATAGGATGGAGACTCAATACTTAGAATTTTGGAGGAAAAGGGATAACAGAAACTCTGAAAACCTAAAAGTTTTCTAATTATCTTAATTAGTAGTGACACCAAAACAAAGCATGATTTCTGAGTTCAAAGGCCATACAAATATTCTGTGGTCAGCCATCCATGGGATCATGCAAATGTGATGTAAAAGAAAAGGAGAGCAGTTACTAGAGTCTCAATTTAAAGCATGTTTAGGAACACGGAGTTGTTTGTGTCACCCATGCCCCAGGAAGTAGGTGCTCCATCACCAGCTGCACAAATGCTTCCTTAGATTCATGACAGGTTTTACCTTATCTGAGAAAAAAATAAAACAAGTTTTCCCAAAAGATGACTTCTTTGAATGCCATGAAGATGTAATTGCAAAATATCAATTATAATATGGACACATTGGTCCCACTTTCCTTAGAATAAGATTCAGGGATCTGTAAAATTCCAGGGTCAGCTATAGAAGAGATTCCATTCTCTGACCCCAAAAAACATCTATCTAAGGAGGAGGATGGATTCCAGATAATATTTTTCCAGACTACTTTAACTCCTGCAAGTCAGCTGGGGTTTACTTGGGTCAACAATTCAAGCAGCAGGGGCCCCTAGAGCATTATCTTTTCTTTGATCCTAGCAACGCCATGTGGATTGATTTTAAGGTATGCCTGTTCTTCAAAAGGCTTGATCTCTAGCTTAAGAATGTGAGCTAAGTAGGGATTTTATAGGAATTTTTGTGGCTTTAGGAAATAAAACATAAGAGACTCCCTGCCTCTTACAGTCTTCTGTAAATCTCCGTCTCTAATTGTTTCTCCCCTTCAAAGCAAATTCCCATGCACTTCATAATGCAGAGTCTCCAACAGGCATGTGTCTAATTACTCTCCGCCATCCAGGCGCAGTTCAGAATGAAATGATTAGCAGTATTTGTTGTCAGGTTGTCTCCGGGAGATGACAATTTATATCAAATCACTATGTGTCAAAAATAGGAGGCCGTGCCAAGGTGGAAACGCAATTCCACAGTTCCCAAAAGTGGATAAAATTCTCAGCTCGACGTGTGACGTTAATGTGTTTGCTGCTTAGAGAGAGGGATCTGGCCTTTTCAGGCAGCCAGACTCTCTCTTGCACCACCACCCACCAGCTGATAAAGCAAGTTGCATTTGCCCAAAGCTATTTGCTGTGATTATTCAGAGCCCTCCTCACTCGCTCCCCACCTGCTCTCTCTCCAATCCCATCTCTGCCAACTCAGAGCTCCTGGCTGTACTCTTCAAACTTAATACTCCCTTTTGCCTTCTGGGCTTTTCTTCTTTTTAGCATCTAACTAGCAACTAGCCCTTTCAAACTCCAGCTTGAACTTGGTCCCAGACTCTTCTATACTACCTTTACTATGATATTCTCAGAAACCAAGCCCTGGGACCAACAGTTTGTATGTATAAAGCCAAGGCTATGTCCTCCCTGACTCCCTTGTGATGGAATTCAGGATTATTTTTATTTTCTGAATAATGTTACATTTGCTTTAAAGGTTATCCATTAAAAGACATATTTCTCATAATAAAAACCCCAGGTTCAATGGACACACAGGTGAATTCTCAAAACTATTATGGAAGAAGTAAAACAAATATTTTATAAATTCTTTTACAAAATAGAAAAGGAATTCTTTCTTACTTTTTATCAGGCCAGCATAACCTTGTGCTATAGCCTGAATGTTTTTGTTCCTCCAAAATTAAAATGTTGAAATCTTAATTCCAACCTGATGTAGTAGGAGGTGGAGCCTACCTATGGGAGGTGATTAGGTTTCACCCTAATGAACAGGATTAGTGCCCTTATAAAAGAAACCTGAGGTCTCCCTCGCTCCTTCAGTCATGTGAGGACACAGAGAGAAGACGATTGTCTGTGAACCAGGAAGCTGGCCCTCACCATTTATAGAGGCCCTCAGCCTCCAGAACTGTGAGAAATAAATTTGTTGTTTATAAGCCACCCAAGCATATGGTCTTTTTGTTATAGTAGCCAGAATGAACTAAAACATCTTGATTCTTTTTTTAATAGAACATTTGACATTGATTGAAAATGTTCATGTAGAAAGGAAAGAGGAGAGCAGCTACAAGCCAGAACCAAACGTCAATTTAGTTCTTTTTGTAACAGCTTTATTGTCTATTACCTTGATCATGGTGATGGTATTGTAAGTGTTTGCATATGCTCAAACTCAACAAATTGTACACATTAAATATGTGCCGTTCTTTGTATATCAGTTATCCAACAGCATCACTCTTAACAAATGTAAAAACAAGGCAAGGCAAAACAACTTAACCATAATAGGAATTGGGGGTCATTCTCTTCTACCATTCTATCATACTCCCAAGGACCTTGTTACTATATTGCTGTGACTCACCATTTCCAGGTAACACAAAAGAATTATACCACCTTCTCTTTCAAGTTTTTTGTCATTTTCTGTCCTCTAGTGTGGCAGTCCCCAACCTTTTTGGTATGAGGGACTAGTTTCGTGGAAGATAATTTTTTCACAGTGAGCAGGGAGGGGGATGGTTTTGGGATAAAACTGTTCCACCTCAGATCATCAGGCATTAGATTCTCATAAGAAAACGCAACTTAGATCCCTTGCACGCACAGCTCACAGTAGGGTTTGTGCGCCTACAAGATTCTAATGCTGCTGCTGATCTGACAGGAGGCGGGGCTCAGGTGGTAATGCTGGCTCACCTCTGATCTGACAGGAGGTGACGCTCAGGCAGTGATGCTGGAAGCCATTAGCCTTCTGCTGTGCAGCCCAGCCCCTAACAGGCCACAACTGGTACAGGCCCACAGCCTGGGAGTTGGGAACACCTGTTGATATTAATTCTATTAATAGTTACATAAAGAAAATAAGTCACTCCACCGATTGAATCTCCCCTCCAACTTTGATTATACTTTTCCTGTATCATTTAGCAACCTCTTAATCCTACTTTTCAATACGTATCACCAAAACAGGAGGACTTTATTAAGAACAGAGAGATCTACCAAGATAAGATGAAGAGCCAGGAATGATACCATTTGCTTCTGAACCCTTTTGACCTTTTGGAAAAGGAGAGAGGGGATAGGAAATGCACAATGTCTTTCAACATTTGCTCCCCTGAGCGCTTCCTCACTTGTGTTCAGAACTCACAAGAGTTTGTTTTCTTCCTTTGTTGTAATCACAAATATCCCAAAGATGGCAAATTTCAAGAAAGAAAAGTATCTTCAAATGATATCGATTGTGACTAAGCAGCTACTCTCAATCTATCTGAGACAACATTATGATTTCTGGGTTGCATTTTGGAGAATAGCATCAGCAATTATAAGGTATACAATTTGATCATAGAATAAGTGGTTGAAATTCAGGAAATTGCAGGGAAGCTATCCTTGAAATCAAATATTTCATTTGATCCTCTACTATTTCTTAAATCATCATTCATACCAAGATGATGCACTTGTTTTTTTTGTTTTTTTGGTTTTTTTGGTTTTTTTTTTTTTGAGACAGGATCTCTCTTGTCTCCCAGGCTGGAATGCAGTAGTACAATCATGGCTCACTGCAGCCTCTGCTTCCTGGGCTCAAGCAATCCTCCACCTGAGCCTGCTGAGTAGCTAGGACTATAGGCACCCACCACTACACCTATTTTTTTTTTTTCTGTATTTTTTGTAGAAACAGGGTTTCATCGTGTTGCCCAGGCTGGTCTTGAACTCCTGGGCTCAAGCAATCTGCCCGCCTTGGCCTCCCAATGTGTGAGGATGACAGGCGTGAGCCACCTTGCCAGGCCCCAAGATGCACACTTTATAGAAGCGCAGTAGATACCATAACTTGGAATAGTTACAACTCTTGGCTTCCAATGTTTAGTATCTTCCTTTTTTTTAGAATTACTTTCCCAGCAACTTTTCCTTCTACCTTACCACTTCACAAGTCAATTTTCCCACAACTTACCAATGAGTCTCTGGAAAATAATGCCATGATCCACTGTGAAGTTAGTAGTTATGAGTTAACATTCCATTTACCCCAAACCTACCTTCCCAGAGAGCACCACCTGGTCAATAGAAATCAAGGTTTGAGGCTGTTTTAGTCTCTCATTACTCAGAGGCTGTACCTCTCCTGACATGTGACATAAGAAGAGGACTGTTTCTTTCTGGCCTGAAGTTATGAACAATACTCATGCCTAAAAACAAGTTTAAACAGGTATTTTTTTTTTAATTTATATCGCGCTTGATTTTTCTAAAATGTACTGGGCAACCCAGATCTGTGGCTTATGTGTGTTCAGCATTCTGAATTCATTGCTATGGAAAATTAAGCTGAAATGACGCAAGGCAAAACACAATTTGAAATATCAAGCTTTTGCCATGTGCCTTTGAGCTATCCTCAGTGCGAGCTGAAGCATTTATAGAACCTCTTATTGCCTGCTTCCAAACTCCAGTCTTATAAAGTAACAGGGTATGCCTTTTGCCCTTTGTGTTGCGAGGTTATCTAATTTCCATTCCCAGATGCACGTGACGCCTGCTCTATTTTTGTCTTTAAAATAAATCTGTTGCCTAAAGCTAAATATACAGTACTTTGAACATGGCAATGAAGTTATTTTTAATTTGTCCTTTCCTTTTAATTATGCTGTTGGTATTATTTTGTAGGTACAATTTGCAACATTTTTGCTGCCACCTACAGGCACCCCCTGAGTACCACCTGTGATGTCTTGGGGTAGGTGTAGAATTACCTGTTTACCTTGAAATGGAAATTTTGCTGAATATCTAACCATTATTTGTCAGCATGGATATTTGTGTGTTGAAAATGTTTCTTTAAACAATACCTACATCCTTATTTATTTCATGAAAATAATATCTGCAAGATCCTCATAAAATCAGTAAATAGGACAATCTCTGCAAACATAAAGAATTCACTCGGGGACAGTACAAGAGAAATCCTACACAAATGTGTTCTTAATCGTTTCCATAAGTAATAAAATCAGCATGTTTATGAAAAACCTAAATACATAATTGATCAAAGCAATTTTCACAGTTTAAAATTTATTAGCTATGAAAATAGCTGATGTGAAAAGGAAGGTTCAGAGAAAAAAAAAATCTAAGTCTTTTAAGGAGTAATTCTCTCTCATCTTGACAACTATTACTGACTGCACTGAGCTAACTCTGAAATAACCACACACAAAAAGAAAACCAGAGAGAGGGCAGCTCTGGAGAGACCATTTTACACATACACAAAAGGAAAGAATGAAAAAAGATTTTACTAGTGTCCCAGAACCCTCTCATGAATCTGAGTCCTCTGTGAGGCAGGGAGAGAGTCCAGCACTTTGGGACCTAAACAATGTTTCTCTCTGCGAGAAGTTGGCCTCCAAGTAGAGAGATGAGTTGTTTTGGAATATGCCAGTGATTTTTAAATAACTCTGTGTAGACAACCCATTACTTTCTTTAAAACTTTTTACCATTTCTTGTCTCAATATACACCACCTCTTAGACTGAAAGTCTCACAAAGTGATGGGGAAGCTGTGTTTCACCTTCTTAGTCTTTATGACTTGCGTCTCTTGGGCCTAAAACCCCAGAATTTTGTATCTTTTTTACAGAATACATAGCAACCTTTGACAGTTTAAGAGGAACCCTATATTTCTGTGTACAAATCATTTTATCTCTCTGTGTAGTCTTTGTTTATTCAAGAAACTAGCATTCATTTATTTACTCGAGGAAACTAGCTTAGTTTGTTCCAAGCTCTATCTTTGATGCTAAGGATCTATAGATGAATATGACATAGCCTTTACTACAAGGTGCATACTATATTATAGAGGTGACAGAATCAAGTAAGTGCAATGCAATGTGCTGAGGATTGTGATAGAGGTAAGTACTGCACAACAGTAGTGCAAAAGAGGAGGATCACCTCTCTGCTGGAATGAAAAGCACCAAAAGGTAAAGGGATAGGGGAAATGACAAATACACTGGGAAGAATCGACAGCATTGCTTTGGCCATTTCTTTCAGGTCTTCTTTCCCTCTCCTTTTGTTTCTTGCCAAAGGAAGAATTTTTTATATAAAATAAAAACTTTGATATTGTCAAGCATAGCCTTGACAATATCAACTGAAACTCAGTGCTTAGCACTTGAATTGCCACATAGAAAACTCCCATGAATAATTCATTGCCAATGCATTCTCCAGTCTTATCATTTCAGTTGCAAATAATCCAGAACTGTGCAACACACCAAACCTTCCCCATCACACTTTCTACCATGAAGGTCAGCAGAAAAGAGACTTGATCAGCACCAGAGTCATTAACTGAATGTTACTTGAGTGGACATTGACACTGTGATCCCTCAGTTTCTTACCCAAATACTAAATCTTGCTGTTTTTTCTTTTTCAATTTGTATTTTGCCCCCATTTTTAAAATTTTAGCAATTTTAAGATTAATTATGTAAACTAAATATTTATAATATTTTCATTTAGGAAAACAAAACTTTTTTCCATTATAAAATAAAATATAAATAACAACATTTTATTTCAACAGTCATATTCTCAGAAATTTCTGTATGTCTAAGATTCTATGAGATATTGTAAATGAGTATGATCTTTGGATACATTTCTTCTCTATAAGGAGTGTTCAGGTTCATAGGGAGAAAAAATAAAAAATATTATAGGACTATACATAAAAGCAGACAGGTTTGCTACTGGGAAATTTTGAAATTGATAAAGACTGTCATTAATGTCTCTAAATTCCTTTTTGTACTCTTTTCTGATTTTCTCAAAGTATTTTTTTCTTTCTTCACTATGCATGACAATCATGGCAATCTCCAGATCATCAAATAATAATGCTGCTCAAAACCCCCAGTCACCCTCACTGTGAGGGAGGGAGGAAAGGAACCAATAAGAGAATAATTTCCCTTTTAATATGTTCTACTCTTAGCAGGATATGAGTTTCATTTGAACCAAATGGAGAAAACACTCTGATTCAATGGTATAATTGTTTCTGGTGGGCCTTCAGACACCATAAGCAACCATCTGCAAAGAAGAAGAGCTTCAGCAATTCTAAAATCACGTCATTGTCTCACTGCCTACATGTATGTATCATGTCTGTTCTGATAGGCATACAATGTCAGGATTTTATATTGCAGATTATGAAGCATAGAAGACAATGGCATAAGATAAAATGGCAGAATGTAGGGTACAGATTAAAAGCATAGAAGATCAGCAAATAAACATATTAGTAGATCCTCAATACTTTGGAAAAGCTTTCTGCAAAAAGAGAGACTTGAACAACTCTTTAAGAAGGGATATGATTTAGATAATCAGAGAGAGAGGAGCTGGTGGGAAGAGAAAGGACCCTGATAGAGGAACAGCAGACACAAAGAATAAACATGAAAATACAGAAGACAATTTGCTTCTCAAGAGTAATTTAAATTAAAACATATCAAGTTTACCAATAACTTTTTAGATCTAGATGACTTTCAGACTACCCAATGTGGACTGACTACATTTTTGATAAAAAAGGGAAAAAAACATTTATTTTAACTAAATGTTTTCCCACGTTAAAAATCTACCTAATAAAGCATACGTTAACACTAATATTTCGCCATTTTCACAATTGTCTTCAAATACAGTATTTGATTTACTGTAATAAAGTTTACGAACTTGACTTGAATTATTAAAGTCTAATCCCAAAGCAGGATTTTAATTAAGAATGAGAATTGGGGAGTTGTTGAAATGAATTCTGGCTAGTTTCTCCACAGATAAGAGAAAACAGACATACAATATTTTGACCTCCAAAAAGCTCCCCAGACTCACTGATTTTTGATTTTTGACTTATATCAGTCTACTCTGACTAGATTTTGAGAATTCCTAACCAGGCATATTTTATTAAAAATGACATATATAGTTGTACAAATATAAAATATTAAATATGCATAAGTTTTCCTTTTTAAACAAATCTAGTTGGAGAATGTTATTAAATTTTTATTATTTCTTTTGTGTAAATATAAGTATTTAGAGCTATGAATTTTCCTCTGAGCTCCATTTTAACTCTGTCCCATAGGTTGGTGTATTGTTGTTATCCAGAAATTCTGTGATTTGTGTGTACTTTTTAAAAATATTTAACCTAAGTATATTTGAGGAGAATTTTAATTCTAGGTATTTTTTACTATCTTGCTACAATGTCTAAATTTATTACATCAGAATCAGAAAATATATTATCTATACTATCCCCCAATTTTTGATTTATAGAGGCTTTATAGTCAAAAAAAATTTTTAATTGTCACATAAGCATGTTCTCATTGTTACAGTAGTAACATATATATATATATATGCATCTTCTTGCTTACTTTGTTAATATTATATCCTTAAGTGTGCTTTTATCTATTTGTTCCATCTTAGTCTGAAGGGAGTGAATAGAAGTCTCTGAATATTTCCAGGTCGATTCTTGGTATCTGTCATGATTTCCGATTTATGAAAATTACTGCTATGATTTCAGGTGCATAGGTGTTTGTAACTGTTATATCTTCATTGTCAACTATACCCCTTAACATTCTAAACTATTCTTCTATATGTCAGATAATGCTTTTTGACTTGAAGTCTATCTTATCTGAAATTAAGATCAGACTCCTGCTTTTTCGTGTTTGCACTGAGCTGATATAACTTAACTGTCCTTATTTTCTTTGTCTTTTGGTCCTTCTGAGTTGCTTTAAGTGTGTCTCATGCAAATTAGAGTTGCGTTTTGTTTTGCAATTCTATGTACAAATCCTTTTTCTTTAAATAAGTGAGTTAAGCTCTTTTATATTTATTAATATAACAGGTACATTTCCTTTTACTGTCATATTATTTGGGGTTTCTTTTGGTTTATGTTTACTATAGAGTATGTTTTCTTTGTATTGAATGCAGCTCTTCAGATATTTTAAAGATTAGTGTTTCAGATTAGAGTGGTTATCTTTAACATCTCTTTGTAATACTTTTGCCCCTTCTTTTTAGACAATGTCTACTAACTCCTTACTATGAGCAGCAATTTATTATGCCTGTACTCCCTTTTGTTATCGGAAAGGGGTCCCAATCCAGACCCCAAGAGAGGGTTCTTGGATCTCACGCAAGAAAGAATTCAGGGCAACTCCATAGAGTAAAGTGGAAGCAAGTTTAATAAGAAAGTAAAGGAATAAAAGAATGGCTACTCCATAGGCAGAGCAGCAGCATGGACTACTTGACTAAAGATACTTATAGTTTTTGAACATATGCTAAACAAATGGTGGATTATTTATAAAATTTCTGGGAAAGGGGTGGGCAATTCCAGGAACTGAGGGTTCCTCCCACTTTTCGACTATAGAGGGTAACTTGCTGACGTTGCCATGACATTTGTAAACTGTCATGGTGCTGGTGGGAGTGTCTTTTAGCATGCTGATGCATTACTATTAGTGTATAATAAGCAGTGAAGATGACCAGAGGCCACTTGGATCACCATCTTGGTTTTGGTGGGAATGGCTGGCTTCTTTACCGCATCTTTACCTATTTTGTCAGCAAAGTCTTTATCACCTGTATCTTGTGCTGGCTTCCTATCTCATCCTGTGACTTAGAATGCCTAACCTCCTGGGAATGCAGCCCAGTAAGTCTCAGCCTCATTTTACACAGCTGCTATTCAAGATGAAGTTGCTCTGGTTCGGACACCTCTGACGCTTCTACCCATCTTCCTTGCTTTCCTCCACCATCTAAATTTAATCCACACAATTATTTTGCTTAATTCTTTTCCTGTGTTGATAAACTTGCTTAATTTTTTTACTATTTGATTTGTCCACGTGAAAGTAGTATCTTTGATTTTTTAGATGAGGCACAGATGAGTCAATCAGCAAATTTATCCCTCTTAAAACATTTTGTTCTTCTCTATATTTGTATTACAATTTCTGCTTTTTTAAAAACATGTAAAACATTCAATATTGATACTTTTTGGTTCGACTGAATCACAGTTAAGGATATTTAATGGTCAGGACAAGTCCTTTTATTGAAGTTTCCTCTGAAATCTTTATTTTGGCTACAGTTGATCTTTCATAAGTTTCCCCAAGAAGATATAGCCTCCTCATTAAAATATTAAGTGAGACATTATTTCTTCATTAAAAATTCCCTGGGTTTAGGAGAGCAAAGATCACCTGATGGCCATCAAGCAGACCATCCAGCGGCAAATTTCTTTATCTGAGGAATTCATAAGTAATTAGACTTCCCTATTATCTAAAGACAGCATCTGGTACCAGGCTTCTTTTCCACAAATTATAAGTAGCTAGAATGTCTATAGATTTCTGGAATGCATGTTTGTTGAAACTCATTGTGCAACCCTTGCTGACATCAAGGCACCAAAATGTTTACAAACAGAATCGTTTCTCATGACCTATGTGACTAATATGGTCCAAATTACCCCTAAGCTCCCGCTTTAAGGTCTATAAATACCCCTAAGAAAAAATCTACCATGGAGAGCTCAGTCCTTACTTGCTGACGTGACTTGCTGTCTCTTCCACAGTGTTCTTTCTATTTCAAACCTATACTATTGGCAGTAAATTCTTCTTACTACTCACGAGCCACCACTTTCCGTTGCCAGGGCTCTGACACGTCACCCGGCATGGGCCACATCTATTTGTAGATTTAAATTTGAAGAAAAGTTTTGTTGTAGTTAAGTGCCCTTTTCCAGAATATGTCGCAGTTGGTGCTTCATTGTCTCCTGATAGTGAATATTACGGTAAAAAAGTCTGTCGGAAGTCTTACTGTTTTTCCCTTAGAACAACATTGACTATAAATTGTCATCTAAACCACACTTTGAGAGTGAAGGGGGCCACTATTTATGTTTAGAACAACAGGCATAAACTGGAACTGTTTCAGGGTAACTAGGCCATATGGCCTCCCCAAGTACGCATGGCTTGATCTTTTGTTGTGGTTGCCTGAAACAGCCTTTTCAAAATCATCTTGTTATTTTCTTCTTCTTACTCACTTTATATTCATCTTGTTTCTAAATAAAAATATTCATCTTTCATTTTTATATAAATTATGTCTTAGTGTTTATGATTAATTTTCTCTTAGTAATTTTTCAATATGATTCATTTTCCTTTTATTTCAGAAAAGGTGACTTATATTTTTAAATATCTGTAATATCCGTTTTATTTTCCTTTCCCAATATTCTAAAGCCATCTTTTTTTCTCTAATTTCTCTATTTCTTATTTTTTCACTTTTATCTTGATTGCTTATGTGTTATATTGTTAATTAATGTTTCCCAATTAATCATTCTTCCTGATGTCTACACTCTTTTACAGTCTCCTCCCATACTGACTCTTGGCTTAGTTATGTGACTCATTTTTGCCAACAGGACATCAGCGAACTTGACAAGCATAGAGGCTTAATAAGCACTTTCACACTGGGGTTTGCCCTCTGGTAATGCTACCATCACCTTGTGAAGAATCCCAGTTTAAATTTCTAGAGAATGAAAGACCACATGTAGAGAGACGTTCAGTCAGCCACTCAAATGAGCCCAGATGAAACCAGTAGGAGAACTGCCCATCCAACCCACAGAATCATGAGAAACAGTAAATTATTGCTTTAAGTCACTAAATTTTAGGGTTGTTATGCACTATTAGGTAACTGATAGAAAAATTATTACCTAGAAGTGTGGCATGACTGTAATAAAACCCAAAACATGTGGCATTGGCTTTGGAAATAGGCAACAGATGGAGGCTTGAGAAGTGTGAGGGGTCTGTTGGCAATGCCTGAAGGAATGGCAAAAACAGAACATAGCAAAAACATCAAACCAAAACAGCAGCAGCAACAACAACAAAAACTATTGGCAAAGGTTAGAAATAGGTTTGGGAAATTATTAGTGGCAGAAAAAAATAACAGTCCATATTTTGTAATAGCAAAACATTTGGCAAACCTGTCACATGCAATTACATGGAAGCTAAAATTATACCTGATGAAATGCTAGCTCTGGCTAAGGAGACTTTTTGCCATAATGTTACAAGTGTCAATTGGCTTCTTTTCCATGCATATATCAATGCATAGTGAGACAGACGTGCTAAAGAGATGACTGGTTAGTTTATAACAGGAAATTAGGCATGAAGAAGTGGTGGACATTTAAGGGTTGGAAAATAAAATGATTTCACATTTCCAGATTTTCCAGTTGGAAAACTATTCTCAGTATGGTAAATAGCCTCGGGGAAAAAAAAATCAAATCAAGATTATGCATATAAGACATCTCTTAAAAAGTTTATTTTATTCAATGTATTTATTTTTATTTTTTTTTTTTTGCAGATGGGGTCTCACATGTTGCTGAGAGAGGAGAAAGGAAGGAACCAGTCAGGCAGGCAGGTAGGGTGGGTCCTCGGTTGAATACTTTCAAACCGAAGAACAGCCTGCAGGTACAGATATGGGAACTTACTTGGAGGGCTTGCCTAAGACATGCCCACACCCACACAGATAAGAAAGTCTAGACAGGTGACTTTCCCAGACATACCCCACAATGGAACATCCCCTGACACATGCACAGTAAGGGGAACAAAGCAACAACATGGAGTAACTCAAGCTAAGGGCTAATGCTCATTAGGAGGATGGGGTGGAGCTACCAGAAATTCACACATTATGCAAATGAGACACCCAGCCCTCTTCAGTTTTCTACAAAAGCCTTTGCAGTCAACCGTAAAATGGCAACCCTCTTCTGGGTCCCCTTTCTGCAATGGTGGTGAGCTTTCTTCTTTTGCTTATTAAACTTTCACTCCAACCTCACCCTTGGTGTCCATGCTCCTTAACTTTCTTGGTCTTGACACAAAGGACTCTGGGTACTAACTCAGGCAATGAGACTGCTACGCTGTGGTGCACTGGTGAGACTGTAACACTGCCTGGGATGGAATGCAGTGGCAAAACCATAGCTCACTGCAAACTCTACCTCTTGTGCTCAAGCAATCCTTCCACCTCAGACTCCTGAGTAGCTAGGACTAAGGCACAGGCCACCACACCCAGTTATTTATATTTTGTAAAGACAAGGTCTTGCTATGTTACCCAAGCTGGTCTCAAACTCCTGACCTCAAGGGATCCTCTTACATTGGCCTCCCAAAGTACCAGGAGGCCTGTGAATGAACCAGTGCACATAGTCCTCTTTTTAAGACCTCAGAAAAATCAAAAGTGATTTTTAGTAGACTCTCTCAGCTGGACAAATGGGCTTCTAGAAATTTTAAAAAACATTATCTCATAGCATACTGACATGCCCAAATTAGACTGAAGTTTATCTTAAAAAGAGTTATGGATGTGAATCCCAGTCACACTCACAAGAAATCATTAGAATTTTTCAGGTAGTTGCATAAGTTTGGACTAAAAAGAAGAGAGGTTAAAATAAAAAGAGGTCTCTGGGACTTCATCTTTCTATATACAGAAAACTGGCTGATAAAATTACTCAGCTATTATATTTCTTAAAGAAAAATAAGCTCTAAGAGAACTGAACCAAGAGCCCACTGGGAAGAATCAAGGCCCATGGGCAACAATAGATTAGAAAACAACTTCAGAAGAGCAGAATCAGCCTTAATTAAGGAGCATTCCCTGCCCCCAAGTAAGGATTCCTAAAAACATATGCTTAGTTAGATGTCAGAATCATTATGGACCAGTGATTGCTGTAAATTTCCAACTTATTTTCTTTCTATGTGAGAATGTCTATTGTGGTTATACTGTTCCTGTTCCATTATTCTATGCTTTATCTGTGGGGTAAGGAGGAGCAGATAACTTGTCTTTTTGTTCATGGGTCTCTGTATCAACAGAAGCTGATTGTATTAGAAGTCCTCACCCCATGGCTTCATATCTTTGGCATTAAGATTCCATTCAAGATGGCAAACACTCATTGATACTTACTGTGATTCAGAGCAAGTACTAAACTTTGCATCAGACACCAGGATCAAAAAACTACATCTGAGGAGCATTTTCTGTATTCAGATGTAATGTACAAAATCACAGTCTTTGAGCCTGAATGGACTCCAACATAAAATCATTAGAGCCAGCCAGGGGTAGCTCATGCCTGCAATCCCAGAACTTTGGGAAGCCAGGCTGGGAGGATCACTTGAACCCAGGAGTTTGAGACCAGCCTGGGCAACACAGTCAGACCCCCATCTCTACAAAAATTTTAAAAACTGGCTGGGCGTTGTGGCGTGCATCTATAGTCCCAGCTACTCGGTAAGCTTAGGTGGGAGGATTGCTGGAGTCCAGGTGGCTGAGACTGCAATGAGCTGTGATTGCACCACTGCATTCCAGCCTGGGTGACAGAATGAGACCCTGTCTCAAAAAAAAAACAAAAAACAAAAAACAACAACAACAACAAATCGTTAGGACCAAATAGACTGCTCTGGACTTGGCTCTGTGATTTTTTGGCTTTTCTTTTCTTTCCGTTTAAATTTCTTTCTTTCCTTTTTTAAATTTTGGGGTTTAGTTTGTTTTTGTTTTTTTTTTTTTTTGCTGGTGGGATACCAAAAAATATGACATAAGCAGGGGAATAATAAGTACTTGTATATTTGAACTCCTTTTTGAATGTTGTCATGACCATTATGTGAAGTCTGGTCTAGACTCATTAAAGGTGAAAGAACACGCTGAGACAATGTCCCAGCTGTACCAGCCACCCCAGCAGGTCTCGGCGCACAGAAAACCCACAGCTGAATGCTGCTTCATGAGAAACCCAGGCAAGCCCATTAGAACAACTGCCCAACCAGACCATAAAACTGTGAGGAAAAAAAAAAACACAACTCATTATTTAAGATGACTAAGATTTGAGATGGTTTGTTACATAACAGACAAAAAGGTTCCTTATTCTACTTACCATCTCCCTTTGGCTCCTTGGAATTTAATCTTCATTTCTTATTTTATTTTTCTTTTTTTTCCCCTATATTTTTCCAATATTGATTTCACCTCCTTCTGTTATTTAGCTTTAATGGCAGGCCTTCACTTCCCTGAGTTCTTTACTTCTGCTGAGTATTTTCCTTCATAGCTGCCATTGATAGTTTAAGATTATTCATCTGATATTTTAAGACTTTTATTGGAATATCAAGAAATACATTTCTTTCTGCTTTCTGGCCACATTTTGCCTTAAGTGTGTTGTTTTATTTCTTTATTTTTCTTTTGGTAGAGAAGCTTTTATTGCTATTTTACACATTTTTTCTTATAAACATATTTGTATAGCTGTTAAACTGGTTCCTTTAATTTAGAATAGCAATAAGTTAGATTTTCACTGGAATAGTTACTTTCAAGAGATAAGGGATAATGCAGGGAAGGGAAGGGTCACCCCTACTGGCTGCTATAAAAACAATCTCTTTTGTATATCTCTTTTATCTCTTTTATATTTAAATAAGTTCATTCTATGAAGCCAGCATAATCCTGATACCAAAATCTGGCACAGATGCAATGAAGAAAGAAAAGTTCAGGCCAATATCCCTAATGAACATAGATGCAAAACTTACTAACAAAATACTAGCAAACTGAATCCAGTAGCACATCAAAAACTCAATTCACCACAATCAAGTAGGTTGAGAACCAAATCAAGAACACAATCTCATTTACAATAGCCACAAGTAAAATGAAATATCTAGGAATCCATCTAACTAAGGAGGTGAACCATCTCCACAAGCAGAACTGTAACATACTGCTGAAAGCAATCAGAGAGGACACAAACGGAAAAATAATCCATGCTCATGGACTGGAAGAATCAATATTGTTAAAATGGACATATGGCCCAAAGCACTTTGCAGATTCAATGTTATCACTATCAAAATTTTCAGAGAATTAGAAATATCTATTTTAAAATTCATTTAGAACCAAAACAGTGCCCAAATAGCCACAAATTCTAAGCAAAAAGAATAAAGCTGGAGGCATCACATTACTTTACTTCAAACTATACTATAAGGCTATAGTAACCAAAACATCATGGTACTGGTATGAAAACAGACACATAGGCCAATGAAATAGAATAGAGAACCCAGAAATAAACCCACACATGTACAACCATCTGATCTCTGGTAAATTTGACAAAAAGTAAGCAATGGGAAAAGGACTTCCTATTCAATAAATGGTGCTGAGATAACTGGTTAGCCATATGCAGAAGAATGAATTTGGACCACCACCTCTCACATTACACAAAAATTAACTACAGATGGATTAAAGACTTAAACGTAAGTCCTCGAACTATAAAAATCCTAGAAGAAAACCTAGGTAATACGCTTTTTGACATAGGATTTGGTGAAGAATTTTTGGCTAAGTCCCCAAAAGCAATTGGAACAAAAATGAAAAAAGACAAGTGGGACCTAATTTAATTAAAGAGCTCCTGCACAGCAAAAGCTAGTATCAAAGAGTAGACAAACAGCCTACAGAATGGGAGAAAATATTTGCAAACCATGCACCTGATAGAGGCCTAATATCCAGAATCTACAAGTAACTTAAATCAATAAGCAAAAACCAAAAAATCAAATTAAAAACTAGGCAAAGGACATGAACAGACACATTTCAAAAGAAGATAAACAAATGGCTAACAAACATTTGAAAAAATGCTTATCACTAATCAGATAATTGCAAATCAAAACCACAATGAGATATTTCACACCAGTCAGAATGGTGATTATTAAAATGTGCCAGCATTTTAAAATATTACTTTCTTAGGTCTCTACCATTAATCCTATGATTCACTTATTGTTGAATTCAACACCAGTTGTAGTCACTAAAATACACTGCCCCTGGATTTTAAATGACCCATTAATTTATAATGTTTACATGTTATTTTAATGATGTTGTGTGAGATCTGCTACTTCTTTTTCCACTTTGTGTAGCACAAAAATCTCATTTGATCAGCCTGGGCATGGTGGCTTGTGCCTGTAATCCCAGTACTTTGGGAGGCTGAGACGGTTGGATCACTTGAAGCCAGGAGTTCGAGACCAGCCTGGTCAACATGGCAAAACCCCGTCTCTACTAAAATACAAAAACATTGCCAGACATGGTGGTGCACACCTGTAATCCCAGCTACTTGGGAGGCTGAGGCATAAGAATCACTTGAACCCGGGAGACAGAGGTTGCAGTGAGCTGAGATTGCACCACTGCACTCCAGCCTGGGTGACAGAGCAGGCTGTCTCTGTCTCTGTCTCAAAAAAGAAAACAAAACAAAACAAAACAATTCATTTCATCTAAGACCCTCATATGGTAGTTTCAACTTAGGTGGGGTCCTCTTTCTATAAGTAAATAATTTCCGGAGACTTTTGAAATCTGTACTCCAAATACCTCCTCCATACACTATTCTTCCATTGCCCCATCATCTCTCCTTCCCACTAAAGGCAAAAGTATGGCCTGTCTCTGCTGATCCCATTGCTTTTAAAAGTACTTAACAACAATGGAGTTTACAAGGTTTATATACATCTTAATTTCACCGAAAATGAGACTCTTTCCATTTATTTTCATTTTCTATGCATTTTAGTTTTCTAGAGAAATGAGAAAATGAAAAACTAAGCTGCCATCATGAGCATTTTAGAAGCCTCCTCCTATCTTTTTTTTGTTTTTCACTAAGATTCAATTCAACATACCAAACACTCATTGATACTTACTGTGATTCAGAGCTTGTGCTTAGCATCAGATACCAGAATAAAGCCTAATTAAGGTAATCTAGGACATCAGAGTCCAGAACTAAAATGTGACAGAGTTATGTATATTTGCAAATAGGTGCAATGTCAGTTGAAAGATTCTCAACCAGCAGGTATAAGAAAAGACTCTTGGTCCATATAAAATTATACAATTGGTGAATATTTGATAATAAACAAATTAAAACATAAGATTATACTCTGCATGATTGCAGAACATAGAATCATTAACATTGCATTATTTTGATGCCTGGTGTGTCTTCTCATTGTTAGGAATCAATAAAAACATACCCTGTCTTTACAACTATGGTTATTAGCTTTGTTGATAACAAGTGCATCTTAAGTTAGAAATATTGTGCATTTCTCATTTTTAATCAGAATCTTGGTGTATTAGGACATAAAAATGATGGTAGTTTTCACAAGGCAAGTTTTCAGCAGAGGAAGCATAGAGTGTATAAATCTAAAATATTGCTCTACTTTCTTCCATCTAAAAGAGGAAGCAGACCGTTTACATCTTTTCCATGAGCTCCAACCTGGATTGTAAGAAGCTGAAATGTACTGATACTCAAATTTCTGCAACACAAATTTTTATCTTGAAACAGTCTGTAAGATCTCTTACCACATTGCCAAGCCAAACAAATGAATATTGAAGTTTATTAAAACCACATGATCTAGAAATTTTGGAGTTGTCTCTTTGGTCAGAATGAAGAAAGCTGAGTCAGCTCTTCCATGGCTGTTCAGAATCAGTGATATCCTTTCAAAACTATGTAGCAGGTACTGGAAGATTGCCAGCCACACTGTCCATGATTACTACACAACTGATAAAAACTATGGACGATTCTAAGGACAGCAAGTCCCTGGGTTTTAATATATCAAGAGGTCTTTTTGAAAACTGGATAGGCTGTTGAGATCTTTGAATTACGGAAAATATTCCTTGCCAACTAAACTCCAACTGGCAGAAAAATTTCATTTATTGGAGCACATATGGAGCAACTTTAGTTATTGACAGCAATGCAGTGTTATTTTGTTGGAAGAAGAATGGAGATACATAATTCACCTGGACTCATTGCTTCATATATCAGTATTCAGGGTCCACAAAATCTCTCCCATAGTCCTAGTAGAATTAATGAGTAAGCACATGCAGGTTGATGAGATTTATCAAAGCCAGGGTCTTAAACTACTGACTATTTACAGGCTTTTTTTTTTTTTTAAAGTCAAAATCCAATACTAAGTTACTCTCCACTACACAGAATTTTACTGGCTTCCTAGGGGAAAAAAAATACTTAGAGTACTTCACTGAACTTCAGGAAATTTTTTTTTGCTTTTTTATGAGTGAAGGGAAAGCCCATTTTCAGAACACTTATGAGAGAGAGATTTATTCATAGAATCCTTGAAAGATATTTTTGGCCATATGAATGAGGCAGATCTTCTGAATCAAGGGCTTGAATTAACTATTTTGAATGATACTAAAACTCTGTGAACAATTCTGGATAAACTGCCATTTTAGAAGTGGGGTTTGGATGCAAACAACTTTGCAAACTTTGAAATGTGGGAGGAAGAACTTCTGAGGACTGGTGTCCGGAATAACTGAGCATGCAGATTTTTCTGCAGTCAAAAATCTGCATAAACATTTTGCAAGTTTTAAAGGCAGTTCTGTTCAGACAGCTCTTAAATTTCCTTTCTATCAAATATTCCAATATTTTGTATTTTTTTTTAATATTTAAGCCTTTAGAACCTTTGGAAATTATTTTGCTGTATTATGTGAGGAAGGAATCTAATTAATTTTCTTCCACATAGTAAATAGTCTGAATTTTATTTGCTGAGTGCAGGACTTTTTGTTTTCAGAGGCTTCTTTAAAAAATTATATATCAAGTTATTATATGGTACAAGGCATTTTACCACATAATGGTAAATTTCTGATAGGAAAGAACAGGAGGAAAGAAAGAAGGATAAAAGGAAAAACAGGAGAAAGGAAAGAAAGGGTGGATCAAGAAGGAAAAGAAAGAACATTGGGCACTGTGCTAAGGGATTTTGCATAAACTGTATATAACTTATTTTTAAATTAATCCAGTATTATATACTTTTATGAACATCTTTTGCAAATTAGAAAACTAAAGTTCAGAAAATTTATTAGCCAATTTGGGCAGAGATATGTAGGGAGATGTGCTCAAATAAATTATTTATTATGGAAAACTAAACAATTGTGATAGGATATTGGATGTAATATATTATATAGGCCTATGTATTTATTCTGATGTTTTTTAAAAAATTGAAATTTCATAGAAACAATGATTTAATAGGAGTTTTTATTAACTCAAGTAAGTAACATAGAGCTAGTGCATCATTAAAAATACATTAAACAATTTCAGCTTTGCCCTTACTCATCTTGTCTTTGTTGCTACCGGTGTGTTATTGGATGCCTCTCTCTCAAAGACAATGGCTAAAGATATGGCCTTCACCACCATAGTTCCCATAGCCTAGACTTGTAACATTCTGGAGATTGAAGAACTGTCATTTCTTGGTGCTCTGATACCTCAATCTTTCAAATAAATATAGTCATGCTGATGGCATATTTTTAAAGAATCAAAGTTATCTTTCAGAATTTGTATTATTTCATTTGAAATAAAGTAAAATTTGTTGTTGAAAATTTATAAATTAGATTAAACCTTAAATAGTTGTCCAATGAATCTTCATTAAATGTCAACCATAATCTTTTCCCAAACTACTACTTAGACAAAGCTTCTTCAAGCATATTTTCTTCTCTCAGCCATATGGAAAACAGTCATTTGGGAAAAAAGTCAGCAGTTTATCACTTCACTCAATATATATATTTTAATGGATATCATATATATAGAGCTCCTATATGAAAATATTGGGTTATTCTATATAGTTTGTTTGACATATTTTTAAACAACACTATATGAATATCATAAAAATATTTTATATAATTATTCAACAAAATTATCTTTATTTCTCGTTATGAAAATTGAAAACCCATACACAATAAAGGCATAATAAATCCTTATCTACCTATCACCTAATTTCAATAACTATCAACATTTGGCCAATTGTGTTTTATCTACATCCCCATCAACCTTCCCACTCCCCACACTGGGCTCTTGGAAAGCAGATTCTAGGCATTATATTACTTCACTAGTAAATACTTCAGTATGTGTTTCTAAAAGACGACATTTTTTAAAGGTGCATGTTACAATGCTATTATCACCCCAGAATATTTAAAATAATTCCTTAACATAATAAAATGTCCAGTCAGTGTATATATTTTCCTAATTGCCTCATAGTGATTGTTTTAGAGGTAGTTTGTTAAATCAGTATCCAAAGTCCTAATATGGAATATGGTTGATTTTTTTCTTAAATCTCTTATAATCTGCCCATCTTGTTTTATTTCTCCCCCCATCATTATTGTATAGCAGCATTTCAGAGAGTTCACCATATTTCACTCTGTAGATATAACACAATTTATTCAAACATTTATTATTGAGCATTTAGATTATTTCCAATTTTTCTTCTATTAAACAATGTTTCAATGAATATGCATATAGATAAATATTTGAGCACACCTAGAATTATCCTATTAGGATAAATTCTTAGAAGTGGAATGCCTCATGGGTTTTTTTTTTAAGCTTTTGATACAGCTTGTCAAATTACTCTTCAAAATGATTGAGCTAATTTACACTCCTACCAGCAGTATGAGCGTATCTATGCCCCTACACCCTCATCAACACTGCATAATATCTTCATTTTAAATATTTGCCAATTTGATAGACCAAAAAGATAGCTTGCTGTTTTAATTTGCATTTTTTGGATTAATAGTAAGAAAGAGTGCCCTGAATCTTTGAATCCTTGTTCACTGCTTACTGAGGCCATAAAACCACTTTCTGATAAGTCCACAAAGGAGATATATGTTTAAAGGGTAAGGCTAGGAAAATGTAGACTTTCATTACTAGCCTTAAGCAGAAATTCCGGCACTGGTGAGACTATAAACTGAAGAGATTTTTTTTATATCTTTATTTTCTTTGTTATAAGGTAAGTTTAAATAGTCTTTCCTTTACTTTGTCTCCCTAGAATGATGACACTTTCCAATTGGGTTGCAGCTGTACACTCTGCATATTGCATCGGACACACCATTCCAAAAATGGATGGCTCCTAACTATCCTTTAATGTTTTTGTCACACACACACACACACACACACACACACACACACACACACACCACCCTCAGTATTATGGCCAAATTGTTATTTTGAATGTTCCTGCTCAGAAACAGTGTTTCTCCTTCCCTAAGGTAGAAGTCATCAGGAGTGTGAGTAAGATAGAGTGGTACAGATTGTGGCAGGAAAGAACTGACTTCTACTAGAATATAGGACATGCAGCCAACAGTAAGGTTAAACTTTTCATCTGTATGTTCTCTGGTCATTAGGGTATGTCTTTTGTGAATCACCTGTTCATTTTCCTTGCCTATCAATGAATGATAAACTAATGAAAAAATGAATAATCACATTTTGGGTATAGTCTTTCAACCAGTTACAAATCAACCAAATTGCACTGTCTTTTAGCCCATATTTCATTCTCTTGTCAGCTTTTATTGCAAGATATATCCAGTCAGTAGCCATCTATTTTAAAATAGCCTTTTATGTCTAACTTCTTTCTCAAAATTCTTTAAAGCAACTTAGATAGTCAGAGTCTTATCTCTGTGTACCATCTAAATGAGGCCAGGCGAGATCCTACTGGTCTAAACAGCAACAGACCAAAGATCACAGAATTACTGACCACGGTTTTGCTTTCTTCAATGTTGTATATATATATATATAAAAGGGTCCCTCCTTTGGAGAATAACCTAACCGTATAGGCCATCCATTTTTATCCAATTCACTTCCCCTCATCCAAGCTCTCCCTCCACTAGTAATTTCCTTTCTCTTGGGTAATCAATCTCACTCCAAGAAGAATTGCAATAACAAAGCCCTTTATCCCATCTTTTCACAATTGACTTAAATATGAAACACTTTTTGTTGTTTCCTATAGTGCTTAATTTGTTCAAGGAAATAGTGTTCTGTAGACAATGTAGACTTGAAATATTACAACAGGCTGGCAAGTAATCTTTTTACATGAATTATACTGTATACTATCAACAAAATTTATATGATAGGTAGATATGATATATATGATTTTTATGACCTATAGAACAGCATTTCCTAAACTGAGCTCCATAGAGCCCTCAAACTCAGATTATTAATCTACATGCTCAAAAATGCTTTTGTATGGTGATATGTATTTTGGAAATGTTTCTTGCATTTATTTAACATTTATAATGTATATAATATTAGTATATCAAACTCTCTGAGAAATTTTGCATAGAAGAAACCTTACCTCATTTAACCAGATTTTCCCACTTTTATTTAACTACAGAATTAAGTATTTTATTTTTTTACCTTCATTTGATTTTATTGGATTACCCATTAATAATTTCTGCAGAATTATTTGGGACACACTGGTATAACATAAGTGAACATATTTGGAATGACGTATGAGAAAACGTTCTAGACTTAGCATAGTTTTTTGGTCATTTTTCTTACCTCTTTATTACTCTCCAGGGAGAGTTCGGGAGACAGCAATAAGGAGGTAAGAAAGCACAAGTGGGTGCCATATCTTCATTCATATCAAAACCTTATGCCTCCTTGAACACAGTTTGTTTTATAATACTCTGAAGTATTTTTACATGCTGTCTACTCTCTCTAAAACATTATCCCTCAATTTCATCTGTACATTCCCACCACGTTCTCTAACACCCTAAATCATATGACAGTTATTCCACACAACCTGCCGTGATACCAAGATAATACTCTTTTCATCTTGGATACCACAGAATTAAATATATCCCCTTATAATATTCTATTAACACTACATTCTCTATATATTGGTCTGTTTCCCACCTTAGGCTACTTTTTTTCCTTAAATTCAGAGATCACATCTTATTTTATACCAACTGACCAATGACATGTCTGACCATAGAAGGTAATCCATGTCTGTTTTATAAGTTTACTTTTTTGCTCATTCAATGAAGATTTTTTTTCATTGAGTTATACCATGTATTCTGTTCTCCATGTTCATCTCCTTGCACTGTCTCAAGATTGCATTGTGCTTTCTTAATAGAAGGCAAAAATAGTTTCTTTTCTATGAAAATGATGAAAAGCCTGTTTGTGTAAATGTCTGGGTATTCTTTAAAGTTGCGGGGTACGTGTGCAGGACGTGCAAGTTTGTTACACAGGAAAACGTGTGCTATGGTGGCTTGCTGCGCCTATCAACCCATCACCTAGGTATTAATCCCAACATGCATCAGTTATGTTTCCTAATGCTCTCCCTCCCCGCACTCCACTCCCAAACAGGGCCCAGTGTGTGTTGTTCCCCACCCTGTGTCCATGTGTTCTCATTGTTCAACTCCCGCTTATAAGTGAGAACATGTGGTGTTTGGTTTTCTGTGCTTGCGTTAGTTTGCTGAGGATAATGGCTTCCAGATCCATCCATGTCCCTGGAGTTCCCAAAGGACATGAACTCATTCCTTTTTATGGCTGCATAGTATTCCATGGTGTATATTCACCACCAATCAATTTGGATTGATTCCATGTCTTTGCTATTGTAAATAGTGCTGCAATTAACATACGTGTGAATGTCTTCTGCACAACAAATTAAACTGTCATCAGAGTGAACAGGCAACCCACAGAGTGGGAGAAAAAAATTGCAATCTATCCAAATGTCTGGGTATTCTGTTAGGTTGGCTGTTATTGGAGCCAGGGAACTATGAACTCTCAGAATTAGAAGAGCTATTCAAGCCATCTGGTTCTTCTACTCTTGTCTCTTCATTTATTGCAGTGCTTATTTGGATTTTTGTTGCCTTTTAAAGAAAATATTTTTAAATGTAAATTTTATTGTGGATTTTTGCTTCCATAGAAATACATACAAACATCTATGAAACAAACTGACAGTCATAAATTCATGAACCTCAAGGTCTCTTCAAGATTACTGATGCCATTTAGAAATTGTTCTCTATCTTTAATTTTCATAGAGGACTGAGGTCAGCAGTAAACCCAAGTGTGTTGGTGGGGATACTGTCAAATGTGGCTCTAACAGTAGTTTAATCATCTTCTGTTTTTAAGTTACTCCTTAATAAGGGATACTGCAAGCTTGAGAATGAGGAATAAAATTATTCAATGTATGTTCTTTTAGTCACCCTGTTATTAAGGGCTAATATATCTGACAAGCCACAAGGAAATCAGTAGTTTTAGTTTAAGCATTTGAAAAAAAAAATCCCTCTGCTATCATTATCAACTCAGATATTCAGAAATCTGAATCCCACCCAGAAAACCTCATTTTTAATGTTTCTATGTTTAATTTTAGGCACTCTACTTAAAGAAATAAAATATCACATACCGTGTGAATTATTTGCATTATGTCAGCCTGGAATCAGCAACCGGATGCAAGAATTTCATGAAGTTAGAGTGAATGACAGTCACTCTTTAAGGGTATTGGGCATAATCTATGTTATATCATTTTAATTTCTTAATCTAGTACAATGCTAATAGGTAATGCCCACTGTTTGTTCCCATTCATTAATTGATTCATCAGTGCATTCAATCAATTATACAGTAAAATAGGCACTGAATGCTTATTATGGACATGTTGGTGTGTAAGGCACATGTTACTTATTCATCATCCTTAACATTAAGGTTTCTGAGGTTCTGCACAGGTCAAGGGCACACAGACTAGTAATTTACTTTGAGAAACTAATTGCCTTAAGGAATCTTTTTAGAGACAAGAAAGTCATCAAGCTTAGATGAACTTAGTGGAAAATTGGTCCCGAGTTTATATGTAATATACTGATATGTTCTCACTATGTGTCCCCACCCAAATCACATCTTGAATTGTAATCCAAATTATAATCCCCACATGTTGCAGGAGGGACATCTTGGGAAGTGACTGAATTATGGCGGGCAGGTCCCCCGTGCTGTTCTCCTGATAGTGAGTTCTCACGAGATCTGATGGTTTTATGAGGGGCTTTAACCCGCTTCGCTCTACATGTCTCTCATTTTTCTCCATCCTGCTGCCATGTGAAGGAGGACATGTTTGCTTGCCCTTAGGCCATGACTGTAGTTTTCTGGGGACTCCCCAGCCCTGTGGAACTGTCAGTCAATTAAACCTCTTTCCTGTATAAATTACCCAGTCTTGGGTATTTCTTCATAGCAGCATGAGAAGGAACTAATACATGTACAAACACTGGATTATTGTATATCTGTATTGTCCAATAGGGTAGTGACCAGCCACAACTCATTGTTGAATGCTTGAAATGTGGCTACTTTTAATTGAGGTGTGTTGCACATGTACAACATACATGTAATTCTGAAGACAGCGTAAAAATAGTGTAAAGTATGCCATTTATAATTTTAAATGTTAAAATAATGTTTGAGATATACTGAATTAAGTAAAACATTATTACAATTGATTTCACTTGTCTTTCTTTACTTTTCTCACGTGGCTATCAGACCATTTTTTAAACTGTTATTTTAGGTTTGGAGTTACATGCGAAGGTTTGTTAGTTACATAAGTAAATATGTATCACGGGGGTGTGTTGTACAGATTATTTCCTCGCCCGGGTTTAAGTCCAGTATCCGATAATGATCTTTTCTGCTCCTCTTCCTCTTCCCCCCCTCCCCTTCAAGTAGACCACAGTGTCTATTGTTTCCTCACATATATGGTTTGCATTATATCTCTATTGGCCAGCAATTGTAGAGATTTGTATCCATAGCAGATATTGTGGGTTTGCTCACACATCAATTCCTATGATATATTCCTATAATGTAAAAGCTAAAACTAAATTTACTGTCTCTAAAATTTCTTGCAGCTGTGGTTTCAGAGATGATGTACTCCCATGAATCAGAAGCACAAGCAAGAGGCTGAAATTAGGACTACAGAGGAGAAATACAGACTATGGACACCCACTTTTTTTGTCTAAATCATAAAAGTAGTGACAGGGTTCTGAGCTAGCAGCTGCATCAATGGATTGCCAATCCCACAGGCAAATGTCTGGATTATGGCAGAATAATCAACCCCCCTCATGGCTCATTTCTATCGTATAACTCCAACAATTACTTTTAGAATGTCCTTTTAGCCTTGTCAACAATTGTATAAGTCATTTAAGAACCTTTAAAAACCCTATGTCTTCTTAAATTAGCTAAAGTTGATTCTGTTCTCTGCAAATTGAGCACTTCCCAAAGCAGCATTGGTGGAATAGGCATTATCCAATTAACACTAAAAATGCAATTTAAAGCACACATACATAAAAATCACTTGTTAATATCTGTTTCTCTGTTGTCTCTTACAGGTACAGACAAGTATAGAAGAGCATTTAATAAGCATTGAATGCATTTATATAAAATAAAGAAATATAATCAAACAAATGACCTGAAGTCACGTTATAATTTTAATGTGACTTTTTACTAAAGTTTAAGTCATGATCGAATAAACTCTAAAAAGTTGCAAAAATCACATTATTTTCTGTGTGTATACCGATACTTTTTTTTCTTAAGAAGTAAGTCATCAGCTGGGCTTTGAGTATTCTTCTTTATATCAGAAGTGTAGTTTGTTATCTCTTTCCATTTTAATGACTACACACATTGCTTTTGATATGACAGAACTAATTCAAACCTTTTAGAAATGGCAGCAGAGTTTCAGATAAGGACATGATCCTGATTTATCTACCTAAGGGCTTGGAACCTTGGTTTATCATTTAGTTCATGGCTTGGCACATTATCAAGAAAATCAGAAAATATTCTGTGAAAGTCTCATAAAGCTAAATCTGGCCATGATCAAGCATCTGTAGGTGGAACAGAGGGCAAATGTGTTAAGCATTGAGCTGGACTGCTCTCCTGCTGGCCAAAGTCTAAGCCACAACTTCCTTGGACCCTAAGTGCTGCAGGTCAGAAAAAGCACCAGACGATGCCATAAAATCGAAAACAACAACGCCAGCTCTGAAGGGTTGTCTAGTTTAATGTTCCCAGATAATTAGCTCTAAAAGAGGACTTTGAATTTTCTGTGCTTTTTCAGCATGCAAATTTTTAGCTTTCCAAATCAGTGGTAATCATACTAATAACTACTTTGTGAAAATAGAAGAGATGTACTTCTATAACCATTTGCAGTCTCAGTCTGGCCACTCTTCTGCAAAACTCTTTTCCATTTTTAGCTACTATTCCAACTGTGATGTCATTGCCCCACTCCTCACACATTTACTGCCTAGCCTCCATGAAGCAGAAAGGGTGAGCTGAAGAATTGCAAAAATGTCAGTGTGCAGATTTTCTTGCTTTTAAGAGGTCTGACTTTATAAAGGGGAAGAGAAATACAGTGGCTAGAAGATGCAGTATTAAGTGAGAGATTTTTGGTGCATCCCTGAGTGTGAGTTCACATGCATGTACATGTTAAGATCAGAGATAAAAGAGTACGTAAGATTGATAAAAAATGACCCCAAAGAGAGATAGTATGAAGATGCAGAAGAGAGGAAATGAAGTTTTGGGGAATTGAGTTTGACCACACTTAAGTCATTGTCCTCACCATAGGCAATGCTGCTATAAGGCTCTGTTTAATTCAGAGAAATAAAACTTTATGAAATAGAATTTTAAAAGCCATTTGTATCTACAGAGACCTAACTCAGCCCTTAGGTATGATTAATACTCCAGTGGACCTGACCCAAAGTGAAATCATTAAAGCCTATATGGTTCATATGTTGGAATGATTCATTTCTGTAGGAGATAGAGGAATAAAGAGAATTATATAAATACAATGATCAATCCAAAAGAGGAACTGGAAAGTTTAAAACTCATCTTTAGCTGCCAGTGGAGGCTATCCATTGATCTTAGCATATATAGCACTGATATCAATTAATCTCTTAATGCAGAGCAATACTTCTCTCTCATCTCACAGATCTAGTCCGTACCTGGATTCAATGACGCCATTGTACTGAAAGTACTTCAGCTTTAGTAGCAACCCACAGAGGCATAACAGCTATGCCAGTAAAGTCCTTGGAGACCTTTCACCTTATTGCCATTAATCACCTTGAGTAGCTGGGCCGTGTGAAGCATCTCTTCTTTCATGGCAGATTTTAAAAACAATATTTTTATTTTGTTTTTTGGGGTTGTTTTTGCTCCTCAATCCACACCTCATGTCCTTCTTTAGGGTCCTCTGGAATCCTCACCAATCTCCAAAAAGTCAGTGTACTGGGAAAACCTCCAGATCACTTTAAAATATCTATCCAATAAGTATTGCCCCACACACCTCCTAACAACTGATATTTTATCCCTTTACAAACCAAACTCCCATTCGTTATTGCAGTGGCTTGAAACTGATGTTTGGAAGAAAGCAGTGTTCTGAAATCTTTTTGGAGTATGGCTGATTTTTAAGGAAATTTGGTCTGCCACTGGACATTCTCAGAGACTTGAACATTTTTGATCATAAATCCTGTAAAAGGGATTCCTATTCTTGGTGGGAGGTTGGACTAGACCCCTGAGGTCTTTTCAATCTCTAAAATGGGAAGTTATGAGTAACCTGTGGACCATTCAACTTTCTCAGCGTAATACATGTTTTTAACGAGAAGGTTGAGATGATGAATATAGAGTTAGGTTTCAGGGGCCCATTCCCAGCTCAGAAACTGTTGGAGGGAAGACAGATCATATTTCTATTGCTATTTCCACACCTGACTTAACACCAGCCCCAGGAAGACAGTAATATGTCATCTTTTTACTCAGTCAGGGTCAGATAAAGTCTATAAAGTTCAACAAAGTGCCAGAGCTATCGTCATTTTTCTCTTCTCAATGTACTATCCAAGTCTCTGGGATTTTGACTCAATTACAATATAATTTAGGGTCAGGAGAAGAAGAGAACAGGACTGTTGTTAGTCCTGAAATTGGAATAGAGTTGTTCTATGAGACATTAGCAATTGTGGACATTTAAACCATTTTGAGTTAACATCTCTACCTCCCTGGAGTTTAGCTGTTGGTAGAACGTGTTCTATTGTGGTAGCAACAGTTGCAGCAGCTGTGAGGAAGTCACAGCCACCAACCAACCAACTGGATAAATCAAGGACTGAAGCTGGGATGAAAAAGTAAGTGCTTAACAATTCTGGACTCAACAGGTGTTCTTAAGATGGACTAGAAGGAAGAAGGAGCAATGTTATAGAGGAAGTCACAAGAAAATGAATAAGCCTTTACATAATAGAGCTAATAAGATTTCCTTCTTCAGAAAATATGTAATTTGCTTTCCTTTTCCAGCCAAGGTACTTGAGATATCTTATCCATTATTATCCAAAGCCATTTCTTTAGCAGATGAGAAATGACATATCTCAGTTTGATTCAAGATCACTCAACCCAGTATTATGAAAAATTCCTTATGTTTTCTGAGCATAATTATTTCCTGTGGAGATGCAATAAGAAGCAGCTTTCAGAACTAACTCAGTTCTAACTCAGGCCTGGATGGGGTGGGTGATACTGGCGTTCTCCAGTGTAATTTGAAATTTAAAATAATCTTACTTGGGCCTGGATTTCTGTAACTATTATAAGAATGTATTTTGGTTCATGGGGCTTAGAATTTGAAAACTTGGTCAAGAGACTAGAAAACCTCACAGATAATGTTCACACTTGGACCCTCCCATTCTGTCTTATCAGTGAATTTCCTTATAGAAAGATATGAGCAAGAATACAGAGCACTTAAGGTTGTGTAGGATTCTCCTAGAAACTGAGCAGGGGAGCCAGAGAGAAAGGTACAGTAGGTCAATAAGTGTAATATAGTAACTTGAATAAACGTGAAAACCTGTGAGTGTTTTGGGTAGCATTTTTCTAAAGAGTGCTGGTGGAAATCCCACCTGAGAAAAATCAGTCATATAAAATGCATGAATAAGAGCAGCGTTTATAAATATCCTCTATATTAGTAGTAAAAATAACTCTATTGAGCAAGCTTAAAGGAGAAACAAAAGCAATCTATTTCTTCAGTGAACAGAGAGCAACTTAAGTGCCCAGCAGGCCAGTGTACCTGGAATGCTGACTTACTCCTTGGCTGATGCCTCTAGAATGGCCTCCCTGTGGTCTGAATTCCTACCTTATTTTGCCTTTTCTCCTTCTACAACAAGATCAGTGTGCTTTACTTTCATAAGCATGCGTCAAGTAACAGGGCAAGGGCATGTGCAGAGGGGACCATCTCTGGCAGGTAGGATTGGCAGGAGGCAGTGTACTTATGCATGGACCAAAAAAATGATAAGTTTTTAGTGAAAATAGCACACTCTATAGAACAATTTCTTTCTAATATGGATTGAGAATCTTGAAATATAAGGGAATTTTCAGAACCACAGTTAGTATATTAGGTTGCTTAAATTTTGGCTAAGATTCTCAAAGAGAATGGATATCTTCTGGCAGATTCACAGGCAGTAAAGAAAATGATCCGTTTCACCCCTTCTAATGACCTGTTAGTTCCATTCCCTATCTTTACAGTGTGTACCTTCCTGAGATCTAAGACATTGTCTCTAACAGCCTAACAAATGTATTTTAGCAAACATTAGGAGAAAACAAGATCATGTATTTATGCTTTAAAGAAAATAAGTTTAAGGACTTTGCTCTTTTGTCATATTTCATCCAAAGTAGAGGTTGGAGTTAAGCTTCTCTTTGGTACTCAGAGACATTAGAATTAAACTCAGAATCTCTTTCAGAAACACAGATTTGATTTCAAAAATACTGCACATCCTCTATTTTATTAAATGTGATCTTGCAAACACCTGTGAACTTCTGAAAAATTACTATACCTCAAATCTCCTGAATCCAGTGTGCCTTTAAAAAAAAAGAGAGAGAGATTAAGGACACTCCAAGTACTACATTCCCAGCAAACCACATAAGAGTGAAAGAGCATTACCTAAAGCCAGTCTGGTCATGGTTGAATTGCCACCCCAAATTAGTATTCATGAGGGTCTCCCTGACAAATGGAGTTATTATCCACAGATGCTGTAAACATAAATCAGGAGGATATCATCAATAATGTTGTATTCTCTTTGTCCTCATTGTGTTTACAGATCTTGCTTTGAACAGCACATAAATACTTGGAGCATATTGCGGGAAACATGCCACTCATCTTATTAGCTTTCTCTGGCTCCAAGCTCTGACGCTGATCATCCCGACAGTGTTTGCCAACAACAAAAGAAGCCTATTGATCACATTACTTCTCTCTTTGGCAGCCTTTCTGCCCACGATTACCTTGCATCACTTGCCTTAAGTCAAATGTCACAGAACAAACTTACCAGGGATGTATCTATCTAATACAGCAAAATAAATTACTATGAGTATAATTGGAGGAAAATCTTTGTGAATTGTTTCCAATTTAAAATTTTATTTCTTGGCGTTAACGAACAGTCAAAATCAAAACTTACTTTGGAAGCTCCAAATCCATAAAATTGTACTCATTTACAATTTATTTTCTGAACAGTTTGCAGAGTCCCAAATATCTTGGAAACTGATCCATCAATCATTCTCAGAATCACTCTATGTATGAACAGTTTTCTCTGCTGGCATTTTCGTTCTATAACAGAGTATCTCTATTGAAGTTTCCTGGTAATTTTTCATCTGTGTCATAGCCTTCATTTGTCTTTAACTTATTTTGGATAGATACTATGAAAGGATACATTACTTTTTGTTTAAGTTGAAAATAATACTTTGCAGACAGAGAATGTAGGAATGTAACTAGGATATACATACTCAATGTGAAAAATAGGCTGTTGTGAGATTATTTGGCAGGAAAAATAATATTTGTATTGCAGTATTATAGAGAACAGGTGCTCACATATAAAGACAGTCATTCCATAACTGGTCTTCCTGACACATTATATTCTGTATCCTGTTACCTATAATTTCTAGGATGTTTGTTAGACTCTCCAGAGGAACTGGCTGTCTCTATCTGTCCCAATATGGAGCAATTCTCCTTCACTGAAGCATATGCCATACTTGGCGGTCAGTGTGCATTTTCAGGTCTATATCCACCAACATAAATCATGAAGAATGCAGGAACTCGGTCCTGTTTGTGGCTGATCCTTGCCTGATCCTTGTGGCTGTCCTTGGGCAAATCTTGAAGCTTCAACTACCATATCTGTTCTGTTTTGCTGACTTGACTCTGCTACCTAGCTTAGTATTCAATCCGAGTATCTGTCCTCACCTACCCACATACCCCCATGTGATGTCGTCTCTGAAAGAAAAATAAAAGGGGTGGGCTTAATAGTATAAAACCAAGAGAAGTCTTCTTGACAGCAAGGGCTTTGATTGAAATCAGAAAATGAAGAGCCGTATTCCTATGTGCCATGTTTAACTAAAGACTAAGTCACCTCAAAGTCATAAATATGGCAGAAATGAAAATCATGAAAGAAACTACTGCATAACCTGCTGAGTGCAAGCTGGAGGAGACACTTCAGGAAACATGGATCCCTTTGAACTCTCCTGGAAGCTACTGAGACTCCATACTCTAAAGACAAAATAATTGCATTGGTGTCATTTTACAAAAGACATAGCTAAGACATGTCTAAGCCTCTGTGTTATTTACTAAGTGCCTACTATGTGCTTGACAATTTTCCTTCATTATCTCATACTCACTGCTCCCATTTTTTCTTTATGGCTTTAAACAAGTAAAGCAATTTCCCACTTGTTTTTCCTGATACGGTCTTTGAGCTCCTTCTCTTCCAAGGAGACTTTTCTAAACTATCATGTCAGCCAGTTTGAACATTAACCATTTTGTGATTGATTCATATCTGACATATGTGGTCTGCACTTCTAGACCACTACTTTTGTATGGGCTTTTTCTGTCAAAATCTGGGTCCATATGATTCATTGATTTATTAAATTGTTTATTAATTTATTCATTTAGAAAATAATTGAGAGATAAGCATGAGCAAGACCATGACCTGGAATCTTTTAGTCAGCAACAAAAAATAATCAATTGTAGCATAATCTCTAGTATTATCATTGTTTTCTTTTTCTTTGTAACCAGGGCTTCAGACCCTGAGGATGGAATAGTATCAAGACTGTAGCTCCAACCATGAAAATAATGTATGCTGCACTGTCCCCTGCAAAACTCAGCTTTTTCATCTACCTCTTTTTTTTCCTAAGGATATTTGGTGAATAATTGAAATAATTGCAGAGATAGATATTGAAAGGCTTTTTGTAAATCCAGGGTATTACTGTCTCTATAATTAGGCTATGCACGGTATATAGAAATCTTGATTAGAGCACTGCTTTTTCAAAAGCTAATTAGCTTGCACAACAATATGTTTCCTGGATATGTTTTAGAGGATTGTTTTATATTTTCTTTTCACTCCTGTCTCCAGAGCAAATGAACTGAAGTGTCCTCAGAGGAAGACTCAGAACCCTGAAGGATAAAACCTGCTGAGTGAGGCTGATGGGGGGACATTTCCCTGAGGTGGCTTAGAATAAAGTATATAGCTCCTGAGCTGAGGCATACAGATGACTAGGCTGCAGGGGGCTGTTGGCTGTCCAGCGATCATGACAGAGTCAGGGAACCACCATGCTCCATGGTTTCACCTGCAGAATACCTTTGGGAATTTTCTCCTGTCCAGAAAAAAACCTTCCCATTCTGTTCAAATGTCCTAAATCCTCCTCTGATTTTCCAGGGACTCTGTGCCCCCATAGCATTTATTTTACTTATGTTGTGATTATTTGTTTGATATGTCTTTCTCCCCTTCTAGACAAGGATCTCATTAAAGGAAGGGAATATTTCATTTTCCAATCTCTATGCTAGTTGAAAGAAAATAGGAAAATATTTTGCTTGATTTTTAAGTCAGTAATCCTTGAACCATCTGGATCTCAGACTCAGGTGAGCCTATCGATTCCCTCCTAAATGAAGTCATGTATTAAAAATTCATAAAATTGTAGGAAATACATAGACTATTCTTGCTCCTCAAAACAGATACACTTACTCCAGAAGAATCCTTTTACTTTTTCTCCTCTGCTCTCATTGCCCAAAACAGTCATCAGATTCTCATACAAGCCAACCAATTAAAGGCAATCTCGGTCTTGCATTTGAGTTCCACTGGAGTAGGGCAAAATCTCGTTGTGTTTTGTAGCTCTTAGGAAAATGATCACTATTGTCTTCAGGTTGCAAATATTTACTTCTGAAATTCACAGGAAAAGAACACATGGGCTACTCCAGCACGTAGAGCCACTGTGTGAACCCCACATACGTATGTAGATAAATGTTGGATGGGAGAGTTTAAGACCATTGCTTAAATTCAAATCACTTCTGCAGGAAATTCTCCTTGATGGTTTGAATCTATGTATTGCTACCGCTCCAGCAATGCACTCATCACAGACCTCTCCACTGTTAACATGGAATGATTCTTAACTGATATTAAAGATGGAGAATAACAACAAAATCACTCAGTAGTCTTTTATCACAGTACACATACCCCATTTTCTTCCATGAGAAAGGGACATTCAAGGAATGGGTGTTGCTATATTGAAAGAAGTGACTTTCTAGGGTTAGGGGATACTGTGCTATTTTCTCCAGATGGGTGGGCATTTATAACTAAAATAATTTCACAAACTTAAGTTACAGAAATTTATTGAAAACTTTATACATGCAAGGCATTATTCTTAGTCCTTTATTTTTATTATCATACTTACTACAATAATTTTATGATATAAATATAATTGTCTTCCATATTTGGCAAATAAGGAAACAGAACCTAAAAGCTCACATGGTAAAGTGGCAAACCCAGATGTCTCATCATGGAGCATGTACTTGGAATATTCATGCTACCTGTTTCTGTGCATAATGATGATTTCCCCACCCCCATCTTCAGCCAGGTGAGAATCACTACAATAGGATTCTAGCTTTGGAAGGTAGCAAAGCATCCATCCATCCCCAAGAAACAGCCCCATCTTCTGAATCTCCCAATTATCTGCCACCCTCCCTGCCCCCTCTTCCACTTCCTCGAACATTGCCCATGATTAGAAAACACAGATCCTCATTAAAGTCCATCCCTCCATCCTATTGGTACAAATTAAAACTAGCAGTGGCCCATGCAGTGAACTCAGTAGGATCCTAGCTAATCATTTCTGCAAATGGAAAAATAGGATTTTTCTTCATAAGCACCATCTGTACCCTCAGGACATTCTTATTAACACTTTCTCTCCTGGGCTACCCTTCTACTGAAAACTACTCAAAGGTTGCAGAGTTTCCCATTGATCTGGCCCCTGAGACCTTTCTAAAGGGCTTTAGAGAACCAGCGGCTTATCTGGCCATTACAGCAACGTTGTGAATGAACTCTGTAAGCCGTGTGGTACTATTTCCAAATTACAGATGAGCCTGCAGAGGCCCAGAGACTTGAAAATGATATGCCCATTCATCGAGTAAAGGTTTTGAGTGTTCACTACATATCAGGCATTATTCAAAGTTCTTCAGGTACAGCACTGAGCAAAACAGAAAACTCTCTGGCTTCATGGAAAATAATTCTAGTGGAAAAAAAATTATGTCATAAATGGGGCTCCTTTCTCATGTAACACAGCTACACAGAAGCAGAGGTTGCTTCCTTCAAGCCCAGTCTCATGCCAGAGTCTCTGCTCCTAACCACCATTTTATCCTATGCATTGTCATGCAGCTGGCTGGTAGAAAGGGATTCAGGACACATCTCCTGAATTTTGGTCCAGGTTTTCAGCACAAGACTAACTTTCTGAGAGAAAAGACAAGTATACCAATCAATTTCTTTGACTGTATCCAAAGAGGTTTTGTGTATTCTCCATTTTCCCATTTGAGTAGTGGCCAAGTGTATTGGGCTTCTGGTCATATTAAGATATGGCTCAAATGCACTCTTGCCCTACTAAGTGACTGAGTGGCCCGGATAAGCCCAAACCCTCCAAGCCATTCTTAAATGGAGTCCCCACCTCACAAGTCTGTTTTAACTATTAAATTGTGTATTTAAAGTACCGGCACAATTTTTAGTAGAGAATAAGCAGTCAAAATATTGTAATTATTATCTTTCGTATTACGTGATAGATCTTTAGCGTTCTCCAATGACTTCCTGTTCTCCAACTGTCTCCCATTTTGTTTGAGAGAGGCTAGGACCACAAGGAAGCTGTGTCAACACCAGAACAAAGGGCTTCAGCCTCTATATGAGGGTGTCCAATCTTTTGGCTTCCCTGGGCCTCACAGAAGAATTGCCTTGGGCCACACATAAAATGCACTAACACTGATTATAGCTAATGAGTCAAAAAATATTGCAAAAAATCTCAAAGCATTTTAATAAAGTTTACAAATTTGTTTGGGGTGGCATTCAAAGCTGCCCCGGGCTGCATGAAACCCATGAACCACAGGTTGGACAAGCTTGCTCTCTATACAACAGCTAACTTCACTGATGATTCTGAGGGAACACAAGGATCACCTGGAGGTCTGAAATTTCTACCCAGCAGCTCTGCTACTGCTTAGGATTTCAATTACTCCATCAACTTTCACCATATCTTCAAACCATGAGCAAAACCAATTGATTTGAATTTGATTAAATAAATTGATTCAGCAAAACTGTTTTCTGAGATCTATTCTGCGAAGGGCATAATGCTAAAGGATGATGATGATGATGATGATGATGAAGAAAGGTATGGTTTTTGGAGCATCTACTGTATACCAGACACAATAACGTTGCTTCACATTCACTATTTCATTGGATGCCAACAATATTCCTGCAATATAATTCTAATTTTGCAGATGAAGAAAACAGGGTTTAAGAGTGACAAGTCCTGGGTTCAAGATCACACAGTAATAAGTAGCACAACCTGGACTGAATTCTTAGACTATCCAACTACAAAGTCTCTTTAGGTTTTTCCTGCTTGTTTGAGATCTGGTAACTGATCTCTAATAGCCCATTTCATATAGAGATACTTCTCTCCACCCAAGCCAGTGCAGATATCACCAGTGTCCAGTGTATAGGACAGAGGGTGCAAAACAGACAAAGGTACTGAAGAAGCTCAGAAAATGAAAAAGGTAAACTTGCCTTTGACATGTTGGGAAGAGACCTGCAAATGTGCAAAATGCAAGTCTGGGAATATGTATTTTGAGAATTACATGGAGCTTAGAACATTCTTCACTGTTTCTTACACCTCGGATTGCTGGGCATATTGACTCTTTCTCCACCCCTTTTGTAAAGGGATGGTGAGTGGCAAATGCCATTGCTATCCCACTCCATAGGCCCTCAGCTTACCTGTCAGTCCACCTACACTCTGGGAGACTTTTCAAACATGCAAAGAGCTGCCTACTCCAAACACACACAGATCTCAGGTCCTCTGCTTGAGGGCTTCTCTGAAGCCAGGATCTTGCAGTCCAGAGTGCTAGGAGATTCACCTCTCCAAAGGTAGCCTTAATCAACAAGAGATGGAAATCCATACATGTGCATTTCAGTGCCTTGTTCCTTAGTGAGACAATACTGACAATACTGAGTTTCAGTCTATGCAATTTTTCAGAGGATCCCCGGAGAGATGGAATCCTCAATGGTAACCTGCTTATTAAGGCACCCTTGATTGGCTTTGTACCCTTCTCTGTCACCTTCACCCCTCCCTCATCTAGGGATTACCACCTAAAGAAAGTACCTGCTCTCAAGTTCATGTCTCAGCATCTGATTTTGAGGCCACCCTGCCTAAGATAAGGTGAGAGAGATCCCAGATTAAGGAATCTGCCATTTCTTTTGGTGAAGTTATTAGAGAAGTTCTATACCTAACACATCTAACTTTTCAAAACTTACAGCTTTATTTATGTATTAACTCTGCCTGATTAAGCCGCCAACATCAACCCAGTTGCTGGTAGCACTGACCTTAGTGCTGCCAGCAGGCAGTGAAATAAATGTCACACCCTGGGCCTGTCCAGGAGAGGTTTATAGTCTGCAGGGAGAAAAGGGTGACTCTCATGCTCCAATTAAAAAATAAAAAGACAGCATATAATCAGGTGCGAGTCTAAGAGCCAGCTGCTCTGCATGCTTGAAGATTTTAGAGACGGTGGGGAAGAATAGAGGCTCTAAATAATGCAAGTCTCTCCAGATGTGCCATAAGGGGGGTGTCCAGTGTTCTATGGTTTACAAGATGTAAATTGCCTCTGCTCTTTGGTTTCCATCAACACCAGTCACAGCAAGTTAAGCACAGCATACAGAGGCATGGGAAGTCAGGAAAAGATTAATGAAGCACACCCAGTAAGAGTTTCAGATACCCTCAGGGGAGCTCAAATCCCCCTTCTGCAGAAGGGAGCTGGCATCCTGGGACACACAGGAAGGTCCCCCCTCAGGGTGCCCTTGAGGGGCAGGACCAAACGTCACATACCACACATCATGCACATCGGGCTCTTGTGCAGGGCTGAAACCAAGTAAATCCCAAACTTTGCTCGGCCCAGATTTCCCAGTCGAGTTACATGGGATGAGACTTTGGTCTCTGACAAATTAATGGAAATGGGATTTATATTGAAAACACAACAATGAGCAAATGAAGAAATTCATATTCGATTTAAGTCACATAGGCTGTGAATTGGTTGTGAATCTGGCTCCGTGGGCAAAAGGACTGAATAGGGTCAGCTGTCTGAGCTGATGTGTGAAGTTTTTAGGTTAGTTTTGATCCAGGGCTCATCAAATAATCTATAGTAGGAGCCAGGTACAAAATAAAGTGCTTCACATTGCTACTCTAATTCTTGCAACAAACTCAAATAATTCTACATGCATTTCTTGAGTAAAAAAACATGCTCAGAATGGTCACAATGGTTCAGAAGAGGCAGAGCCAAGACTTTAGATAATCATCCCAGACTCTGGCCCCTAACCACTCTTCTAATTATATTCAGCAAATAAGTAACATTGGACATTTGTGCACATACATGTTAGTGTGGGTGTAAGCTTTGATACATGTAAAATGCATTCTACATGCATATATTAATGTACATATCATAATACAGTTAGCTGATAGAAAAGTTAACTTTCTAATTTGTGACCTAGCACACTTTTGCTTAAAAATTCCATATTCGTTGCAGGAGATACGGTTGTCCTCTTTCATGTTTGAAAACTGAATGAATGAGAGATTCAAAGTTAAGTTTCCCTTCCAATTCCAAGGCCTTTTCATTTCATTTGCACTAACCCAAATGCCGTGCTCTTGTTCAAAGCACTATTGTCCATGAGCAAATATGTTTGGCTTCTCCTGCTGTGCTTTTTCACACCTGCAACAGTATAACTCGGGCAACACTTCCAAGTAGCTATTGAATAAGTAAAAGGGATAACACTTCATAAAATTAATTTTGTTTGTGGGTTCCCTAAGTTTTCTTTTCTGCTACAAACATCTCTTATAAGAATGCTTATTTATCCTTATTTATACTCATTTTACCTTTTTTAAAAGCAGTTTCACATAGATTTTTGCACAACAGTGATGTAAAGTTGGTAGGGGATTATAATGCCCATTTACAGCTAAGAAAATTGAGACTCAAAGGATTCACAAATCGTCTGAATACTACTCAGCCAGTACTGGAGTCGCGTCTTTACTTCAAAATATATGTATGTGTATGTATTTGCGGTTATGCATGTTTTAATGTTGGTCAATACAGATTTTCGGAACACTCACAATATACCAGGAAACGTGTAGAGAAGCAATGCATGAATTGTGGATTTTGCATTCAAAAATTAAGCAGAAAACCAGGTAAGAAATCGTTAAAGTCACCTGTATTGTAAGAGAGATGTAAATAAAGTGTGATAAGAGTGTGGACAAGGGAGAGACTAACAGTGCCTATGACTGAAAAATCAGGTAAATCTTTTTAGAGGTATTTTAGTTAGCCCTTGGAGAAGAAGATAATTTGTACAGGTAGAAAAATTAGGGAGAAAGAATTCTATGCAAAGAACACCAGATAAGGACAATAAGGATATTTGGAAGACGGAAAGTGTTGTAGGATGGCTGGAGTCCAGAATGTAAGAAGGAAACTGTGAGGAGTAGAGACGGAAAGCAAAAGTATGGCAATGTAACTAGTGCCTCTTAAAGGCATGCCAGAGAGGATGGACTTTATTTTACAGAAATTGTAGAGGTTTTACAATTTCCAAGTGAAATGGAAAAAAAATAATTCCCATGAGAGGAGTAGAGAAGAAATTGGAACGGATCGGTGGGGATGTCATGAGTGACCGAGAAAATATCCCTTCCTCTGTGAATCATCCTTTTGACTCCCCCAGGTGAGGATAGCTGCTTTGTCCCTGGAATCAACAGTACCTTGCCCTTGTGCCTATAACAGCACTTAGTATATGTGTTTTAGTTTTCTTGTACCTAGATCTGCCACAATTTTGTCTTCTCACTTCCTCTGCTCCACTCAAATCAAATGGAGAACAACTGGACACAGTTTCTGCCATTTTGTACACAATCAATCTTTATATCCAAGGATGCTGCACATTGACTGGCTCACAGTATGTGCTCAAATAAAGGTTTACTGGATTTCATTGAATGGAATCCATAGGCAAGGAGACAAAGACTGATGAAAATATCAATGAATTTTAGGTAGAATGAAAGTAAAATAAATTCATGGCTGAGGGTCATTATTTTCTCAGTGTGATAGGAAGCAAGTCATCTATCGTAGGGGAGAGAAACATAAATTATTTTGATTTCTTAAGGAAGTCAGTTAAGGTTTGGCTTCAGAGGATACAAAAGGAAATCTAAAATCGAAAAGGGGGAAAGGGCATTTAAAATTGCTCTGTACACACATATGGGAAGAGAAAGCATTGCTATAGAGTAGAGCATTTACATCTGATTTTATGACTTGTTTCCAAAGAAGAAAGATGGTCTGATGGTCCCAGCTTGGGGATCTGTCACATGCTTGGGTTCAAGTAGTTGAAAGAACTGAGGATTTTGGAGAAGGACTGGTTACAATATCATAAATGGATGGAGAAGAAGGGTAAGAGAATATGAAGTGGAGCGTTCCACTAAGAAATTTTAAGAGATTGACTCCAGGAAAAAATGAAGAGTGTGAAAACTAAGTTAAGTAAGTAAAGTAGAAAGATGGACTTTTAAGACAAGTGAAAAAGCAATTACTTGGGAGCCAAATAGACAGTGATTTTAACCCCGGATCTACTACCACGTATTAGCTGTGACCTGGTCTGAATTTACTAATCATTCAGAAGCTTAATTTTCACAAAAGCAAATAGGTATTGTCACATGATTTGGAAACTGAGAAATCTTCTGTGCTTCCAAGTCAGAGCTGAGAAAAAAAGGATCCCAGGGAATCACCAAAAGTTGGAATCAGTGTATCCAGGTAAGAAGTGCTACTAATAGAAATGACAGGCACCAGCAAACCCATCGTTCACTGAAGTCAAAATAAAGAATATCCAAGTATTGGTGAAGAGAGATCATTATCCCCTGCCATGCTGAGGTGGGTATCCTCTGCTTGTACATCAGACCCTCCCTCCACAGTTCTTCACTCTGCTCAAGGCTCTGAGATGGTGGCATCTGTGAATTGCAACACCAGGATCCCCTGCCCTCTGGATTCTGGTTGTTTTCTGCTATTGTGAGACACCAGCAGGAAATGGAAGGGCAAAGAAGAGAGAGGTCAAAGTAGTTATCCCCCTGGCTGACTGCCTGCCAGGTCACTAGTTGCTAGTGACAGTGTTTCTATGACTAGACTTCCTACTGGGCAAAGTCTTCCATAGGTACAACTCTTTTTATTCACATCCCTGCTGAGTAAGGAGACTATGGTGAACAATTTCTAATATTTCTTTTTTGATCAGTTGGCTATCTTTGCATATTCTTAAGGGCATCATTTTGAGGATCATTTTTTACTGCTCAAGGCACAAAAATCATAGAATATTTCATTGAAATGTACCTGCTAGGCTACATCAGTTGTTGCAATGTGTATGTGCATGTATATCGTGTGGTGTTGTATTATGTTGAACCAAATCATGCATTTTTGCCAAGACTTTCTCTTCATCCCGAAATGGATATATAGCTAAAGGCAAAAGCCAAGCCACTGAACTGAAAGTTCTGTTTTAATTCTTGTTAATTGAGGTTGTCAAAAATATGCATATTAGGAAAGCAAAATAAAACATCTTCCATGAAGTTCTGCCTAACAAATACAATAGGAGTTACAAATAATGCCTGGACAAAAGCAGCCTGCAGGACCTGGAGAATATCAAGCAGTAAGTTTTCCTTGACTCTGAGACATATTTTAGAGAAGAAAAATCCCTGGGCTTTGAGCGACTATTGATGTCATTATGAGGCCCTTCTGCACAGTCAGCACAGAGAATGCAGCCAGCACTTCGCAATGCTGCCTTTGTTCTAAGTGCAACCGGGGAAAGTGGGCCCAGCAAGCCCTTTGCAGCTCACCTCGCAGTGGCTATAGTCTGTAGTGCTAAGCAGCACACAGAAAGCCTAAAAATAAAATCTGTCACCTCCAAGTCTTCTTTCCTATTCACATTTCACTCAGGTTAGTTTCCCACTGCTCTCTACTTGCTTAGGATGACAATGGCAGAGCAGTCATTAATTAGTTAGTAATAAAAAGCATTTTATAATCTCTATCACAAATATCAAATATTCATCAGCTCTACACAGACAGCTAGATTCCTCTCTGGGAGCAGGCAGTGGCTGAGTTATATTTTACTTAACTTTTGGAAGGGGAGAATAGTAATTACGATTTTTTAAAGAAATTATAATCATCTTTCAAAAAAGCAATTTTTCAAATTATAAATCATATTTATGTGGAAGAGATTGGCTTAGATGATCTCTAAGCATTTATGTCAACCCTGACCCAACTACACACAAATCACATGAAAGGGCAGAAAATGTGCTTCTAAAATAAATTACTATCCCAGTGCTATTAACAAACCAGAAAGTTCCAGGACTTCGTAAGAGATAGATGACAAGCAGAATTGGATCTATGTAAAAGCAAACCCAGAGAAAATATAGCCAAACTCATAGAGGAATACTGTTGCAGAGTCAAGGGCAGTTCTGAGGAACTTTAAATCCAGGCTTAATAGAATCCTGGGCAGTAAGGGAAGGATAGAACTTGAATAGGGGATGATTTGGAGAACTCGACAGCCAAGCCAACTGAATTTTTCTGGATTGCGTGCAGCAGTGGGATGCAGAGAGATTTCCATCTTTACCAAGGCAAGAAGAATGGTGCTCCAGGGACAGAGCATTGTCCCCGAAAGGTCCTAATTTCCAGAGAGTTGTCAGCATACCAGGTAGTCGGGTGATCACTATCCACTATCTCTGGCAAGCTCCTCCTTCCCTTGGAGTCACTGAAGACAGACCAGGCATTTCAAAATTATCCCTCAATGGCAGAGCAAGAATCATAAAAGCTAAGGTGAGAAGACAACCAGAGATGTCTTTTCCCATATTTGGGGAGTAATCGACTTTATTTTAAAAATCTTTAGGAAATTTTTTGTTTCAATAGTGAAAAAAGTATGTATTCCTGAGCACCCAATTTGACGTACTTTTATACTAAAATAGCACCAAATTATATTAAAGTGGAGATAATTGCTTTGATAATTTGTATTAGCTATTGATACATAAAATAACAATGCATTTTTCTTGTATTTTTAGTCTATAATCTAGCTGGTTACTTACTGTCAATAAACACTTGTGTAGATACGAGATACTGTACACTTAAGAAATACTAACAAAACATTTGACCCATGGAGCACAATGGCAGCTACTCAGGAGGCTGAGGCAGGAGGATCATTTGAGGTAAGGAATTTGAGGTTGCAGTGAGCTATGATTATGCCACTGCACTCCATCCTGGGTGACAGAGGGAGGGCTCTGTCTCTAAAACAAACAATCAAAAAACATTTTACCCAACGTTTGTGAAGTCACCCTTTCATTAAAAATCTGAATCAATTTCTAAAGTACAAAATGAATCAATAGAAATAATACAAATTATATCACACTTTCAAAGAGTTTTTTATTATAATGATCATTCTGCATGAAATTACCATTGCAGTAAATTGTGAAAATTTGAGTATTCTTAGTCAAGCACAAAATATAACACACAACAACTATAAAGCTGAGATCCTTTTATGGTAATCAGATACTCATGAAGTCTACACAATTCAAATGCAAAGCAGTATTCTTTGGCTGAGTTTTGAGAATTCTTGACAGTCAAATTGGTGTACATTGGGGTATCACGATACATGACTTCCATAATCAGAGTCACGACACTCAGGCTAAGAAGCAGAATGTACATAGATACAAAGAAAATTAGTTACTGGGAAGATATAGCCAAGGGATTCGCCTCAATTCTCCAATTATGCATACAAGGAAAAGTAGGTGGAAAGTCTGAGAGTGAAATTTAAGAGACATGAAGGAGAGATTCAGAAAATCCAGCTAAAGAGAACAGAAAGTAGAATAAGAAAGCATCAAAAAATAACTGAAGATACAAATCTTCTGATTTAAAGGTCAAGCAAGATTTTTTTTAAAGATCATATGTAGATACTTCAATGACTTGAAAATGAAGGTTTAGAGAAAGATATGCCAAGCAAAAGATGAGGGAAGAAAAGATGATATGATAGAGTTAAAATAAGATTAAATAGAATGCAAAGGAATACAGGGTTGTAAACTAGACAAAATAAAACGTACAAATGGATTCACCCAAAAAGCTATAATATTTTAAGATATTTTAAAATTGCTATTATAGCTTTGAAATATTTAAAACAATCTCATTAAAAAACACGAGAATGAGAAATCCATAATCATTACTGAAGAATTTAGTGTCATCTCCCTGTATTGGACAAAACAAATAGATAAATAAAAGCAAATAAGGGTATCAAGAATTAAATAAAACAACCACATTGCAAATAGAAAGTCTTACCCTGAAAAATAAAGCACCATACCCTGCAAATGGAAAATAAACATTCATTCAAATACACATGAAACATATTCTCATATATGATGGCTTAAAAAAGAGCTCAGTAAATTATAACCATATTCTTCAAGTGCAGGCAGCCAAAAAAATACAAATTAAACATAAATTAGACTACCATAGAATCTATTAACTTGGGAAGTTTTACACTGTCTTTTAAATAACTATTGAGTTGAAAAGGCAATATAAAAAGCAATCTGGTTAGAAAGGGAGCTTCAAAACTCTATTTGTAAAGCACTTTATTTAAGAAGGAGAAAAATCTCTGCCTATGTCAAATAGAAGGTTTGAAGACCCTGAAGGGGTTTACGGGAATCTAGATTTCTGCTCTCTCTTACACTTTCCATCACATATGCTCTAAAACCAAACAAATAAAACCCCCAAAACTAACCTATGATAATCAACTACTGATCAGCTTTGAAGAAAGGAACACTTTTATGCACTAATGATAAGACTTTACATTGGTAATTCTTTAAGAAGGTCAACTCTGTATCGGCAATAATTGAAAGTGTGCATACCTTTTGATCTAACACTCTTTGGAAACTAAAAATCAGTACTCACATATGTACAAATATTGTATAGTTAAGAATAGTCTTTGCAGCACTACTTTTACTTTTACTAGTAAATAGGAAACAAAGAACTATAAATCAATGGAGAAATGTTTACATAAATGATGTTTAACCCATTCTATGAAATATGAGGCAGATTTTGTTCTATTTTGCTTTATTTTTTATTTATTTAATAATTAAGGATAACTATATGTTTCAATGCTGAAGTAAATTCAGACATTATCAAATGAAAAATGCAAGTTTTAAAATGGTACATATCATGTGAGCTCATTGAAAAGATATATATTTGTGTAGATACAGATATTTAGAAAAACTTAAGAAGACATGATAGACATATTTGAAGGCATGGGGAAAATCCCCAGAACAATATACAGTGAAATGTGAACATCTGAATTTCCTGACATGGGTATCTGAAGGAGAGTCTTAGGAAGCACTTTCATATCTTGATTCTGAATATTTAAGTAGTACCTGGATCTTAAAAAGTGAAAAATGTATTTACATATTATAGCTGAATAAGCACACAAAATTATTACACTGTAATAGTCAATTGGTATCCATGGGTTCCACATCTATTTGGAGTCAACCGATTTGTGAACTGAAAATATTCAGAAGAAATATGGATGGTTGTATCTGTCTGAACATGTGCAGACATTTTTTCTTGTCATTACTCCTGAAACAATACAGTATAACAACTATTTACCCAGCATTTAAATTGTATTAGGTATTTTAAGTAATCTTGAGATGACTTAGAATATATGAGATGATGACATAGTTTATGCAAATACCACATCATTTTACACAAGGGACTTGAGGACCCACAGATTTTGCTATCATTGGGAGTCCTGGAAAATGCAAAGTAGCAAAAAAGCAGAATAAAAATCACTAAAATTACACAATTTACTGGTAGCAAGCACAGTGCACCGTATACATACTGTTTTCTTTGAAAATTTTGAAATCAAGCACTGTGGTTCTTCTATTTGTCTAGAATCTCCTTCATCTTGCATATCTCATGTCAGAGGCCTGAATAGTGACAACTGATATTCAGAACAACGATAATGACTCGCAAGAGCATCAGGCAGAAAATAAATACTCAATTTCTTCATTAGACTCCACTTAATAAAGTGTAAAGTGGATTAAGACATTTTAAGACTTTCTACAAAAGTTGATATGTACAAAATATTAGTATCTCTCTATTATCAAAAAAAGTCCAAGAATACCATTGAATTATTTCCACTTGTGCAGCAGACTTCTTCCCCAAGTCTCACACTTCAAACAAATAGCTCCACCAATTTAGTATCACCTTTCTTTCATTCAATAAGGAGTCCTCTTTCCCTCACATTCCACGTCCAGTTCAAATTCCATGGCTCTTCTCTGCAAATATATTCTGAGCTAATCCTTTTCTTACCATATCTTGCAGCAGTAGTGCTGCAAAGAATATTCTTAACTATCTAATATTTACACATGTGTGAGTATTGCTTTTTTAGTTTCCAAAGAGTGTTAGATCAAAAGTTGTTAGATCAAAATTTTCAAAGAAAACAATATGTATACGATGCATTGTGCTTGCTACCAGTAAATTTTGTGTAATTTTAGTGATTTTTTTTTCTGCTTTTTTGCTGCTTTGTATTTTCCAGGACTCCCAGTGATAGCCCCATTCAAGCCAACCATATTCTACCAAGACTTCGGCTATGGTCTCTGTACTCTACTTTCTCCAAGATCTTTTCTTCACGAAGGACCCAGCCTTTATCCTGTTTGGTTTTCCCCAAAGCAAGTAGCTTACCTGGTGAAAGGTAATACAAGCAGACACTAGCTGTCAATCTAACTAAAACGTAGGCTCTTTCAGACCAGGGATCTTGTCTTGTTCAGTACTTTGGTCTCTATGGTGCCAAAAAGAGTGACATGCACGTGTAATGTAACTCTGGCACTCCAGGAAAACCTTTATAAATGAAAGAGCAAGAAATAGATTGTGGGGGAATTGCTTAAGAAGTTCAGGAGTGAAAGTAGCTTGGACTATGGTGATGGTGGTAGAAAGAAAAGCAATCAAATGTAAAAGAGTTTGGAGGTAAAATACTCAGAACTGCTGACAGATTGGATAGCAGGCATGAGGAAAGGGACAGTGATATGATTTGGTTGGTTCGTCACCTAGATCTCATCTTGAATTGTAGCTCCCATAATCCCCACGTGTTGTGGGAGGGACCTGATGGGAAGTAATGGAATCATGAGGTTCCTGTGCTGTTCTCATGACAGTGAGTAAGTCTCACGAGATCTGATGGTTTTATAAAGGGTAGTTCCCCTGCACTCCTGTTAAGAAGGACATGTTTGCTTCCCTTTCCACCATATTGGTAAGTTTCCTGAGGTCTCCACAGCCATGCTAAACTGTGAGTCAATTAAACCTCTTTCCTTTATTAATTACCCAGTGTTTGGTATGTCTTTATTAGCAGCATGATAACAGACTAATACAGAAAGTGTTAGGAGCCAGGTATAAAAACGGGATAGATCGCTGTGCCCTTGACTGAGATAGAGTACATTGAAACGTGTCCAGGATGTGGGATGGGAGACAGCCAGGTAGTGGAAGGTGGAAGGTGACTTTCACAATCAATTTCTTTCCAGAGAGAAGACTGTTCTCTGGTCAAGTTTGTGCTTCTGGGAACATCTCATCAAACGTCCTGCCAGCGGGCTTAGTACTGGAATTTGAATATGGGCTTCTCTTTTCATCAACCAGCTGTGTTGCTGTCAGCTTTTATCTCGGGCTGGACACTTTGGAGTGTTTAACTGAAAGTGATGAAAGGTAAGTCAGGCATGACCAGGCTGCTGCCATAATATCCAAGAAGTTGTATATTGTTAACCCAATTTGAGAGTTTTTTTTTTTTAATGAATGTGTTTAAAGTACATTTATTTTCAAAACTCTGCCTATATTAAATTCTGTAATCCTGTTTCACGCTTTCTGGGTGTGCTTTTTCTGTTTTGTTTTTGCCACTTTGCTCTTTCATCTGGCTCAGCATTTGACCACATGGGCTATATTTTTAAATAATTTTCTATGGGATTTTGGCATGTTGACAAACATGTAATTCTCCTAGTGACGAGTTTCAGATTTTGTTAAATGGCAGTCAAACCTATATTTAAGTAATTATCAAAATTAAGAATAAAACAATAACTTTGCATCTCCTCTTAGGGAGGATTACAAATTTAATATGCAACATTTTATTTCTCTGTTCATCATGTTCCAGCCTCATAACACAGTCATCAAGCTAGAAATACAGAAGGCATCACTGAGCCCTTCTTACCCATTTTACCCTTCAGCCTATCCATGAGTTACTTAATTCTATTTTCACAGCTGAACATTTCTCACATCCATCCTGTTTTCTGCTGTAACTACTCCCTTCTATCCTGAGTCTTTGTTATTTCTTACCCAGACTTTGGCAATAGCCTTTCAACTAGTCTCCTTTTCTCTAGTACACCCTCTGAGAAGTAAACAGTGCTTCATGTCACATGAAAATTTTCCTTACCCTACAAAAAACTCTTCAGTGATGTTCTATCACCTCAGAATAAAGTGTCTACTTCACAACATGGCACACACAGTCGTTGAAACTCACTTTTGCCCACTTTTCTGGCCCTGAGCTTCTTAACTCCCACCTTGGATTTCTTTGATCCAGAAACAAGAAACTGTGTATTTTCCCATAGAATATTATCTGGTTATTATTATATATTCCTCCACATTGTCCTGCTGTCTTGAATAGCTATGCTTTCCATCTCCCTTCATCTAGTGCTTGGACATAATTCATTATTTACATCTCATATTGTCTTGGATGCCTGCTCCCATAGACACATTAAGCCCTTAACCAATACTTTGCCTTGCTTTGGTGCTACAACAAACCTACATTATGTCCATCACTGACTTTGCCATATATTAAACAATTATATTTTTATGTGCTTTTTCCAATAGATTTTTAGCCCCTTGAGGGAAAGGACTATATTTTGCTATCTCTTTCTTATCAAAGTACTAAACAATATATATAATAACTTTCTAGCAATATATTAAGTGCTCAGTGTTATTAAATGTATTTTTGCTTCAAAACATGGCAAGACTATCTGAAAACTGCAATTTATTTTTACAGGATAGGAAAATATTCTGCTGTGATTTTGTTGTTTCAGCTTCATTTGTTCTGCTTTCCTCTCTGGGGACCCCTATTATTCATATACTAGCTCTCTGGTCTTTGCTCTCCTATCTATTCTTTTCTTTCTTCATATTCATTCCTGTGACCTTTTTCTTCATTCCGATGTTTACCTATACAACACTGATTTGCTGTTTTTTGTAGTGGAAGTTCTGTACTTTATTCTTTCTTATGAGGATTTAATTTTACTCCTTTCTTTCCCCCGGGATCTGTTTAGTGGGGTTTTTTGTTTTTGTTTTTTAATTTTATCTCGAAAGAGACCACTTTGGTGGTAGAGACCAGCTGTTCTGTGTGACCTCTTGCAAATAATTTGCCCTGGCCGAGCTTCAGTTATCTCATCTGTAAAATGGACACAGTAAATGTGCCTGCCTCATGGGTTTGTTGTCAGGATTAAATTGAACAAAATGTAAAAAACACTTGAAACTAAGCATGTTATAATGTTGGAAGAAAGGACATACCACCCCACTGCTGATGTTTTCTTCCATTTAACCACGCACCCAATGGAGAAATACTTCCATCCCTCTCCTCTCCATCTTTTTTCCTCCCTTCCAGTTGCCTGAAGGATAGGTGAGGGATAAATTCTCATCCCCTTTTCTCGCTTCCTTTAGGAATTTCCTTGCCTACTTGAAGAGAGCAGACACGTTTTCTTGATTGCTCTTGGTCAAAGTTTAACTTTTTAATAAATATGTTACTCTGATTTACTTACTGTTTCTTCCACTACCTCTTCCTTGGTTCAAACTCAGGTGGAAAAAAAAAAAAAAAAGCAGTGTGTCTGTTGGGTCACCTTAAATTCCCAGTATCTGGTTTATTAGGCTGGGCATCTTAAAGAAAAGAATTTGGAATGCATTCTGAGAGATACAAATTATGTCTGGAGTTTGATGCTTATGGCACAGCTGATGTGCATGGCTGTCAGCTGGGAAGGTGCTATGCTAGGCAATGGCCACGTGGGAATTTTCCTTTATTTTTCACGATAGCTGCATATATTTAATACTTCAAGAGTAAATTCTGTAAATGCTTCTGAACTCTGAGTTTAATGCTTCAAAGGGTAAACTAGGCGCTCCAAAATGAGAAGAAATGGTTTGTTTCATGGGAACATAACCCTACTTTCTATTCCATGTTCAAGTATTTGTCGTCTTTATTGTGTTGTTTATGGTTCTTGCTGACATTTGAATAACAATGAGTAAGGATGATATCTCATATAGCATACCTTGCTATCTTGTTCTTTGGATATGCCTAACTTATAGCAGAGAATTTCTCTGAGCTTGAGGTAATCATTGATGCTTTATGCCTTGCTGACATGCTGGGGAATGGCTTAACCCATGGAGAATGCCAGATGCTTGATGAAAAAGCTTCTGTAAACTTGCACACTTGTTTTTCATGTGACTCATCAATTTAGGAGGTTTTTAGCAGTGTTATATAGTTTTAAGCCTTTCTTCTTTCTATTGATGCAATTCTCATATCATAAAATTTTTTCAATTCAATGCTTTTTATGTATTCACAAAGTTGTGCACTCCTTACCACTAATTCTAAAACATCTCCATCAGCCCAGAAAGACGTCCTTGTACCTATTGGCAGTCATTCCTAATTCACCCTGTCCCCAGCTGTGACAACCACTAATCTACTTGCTGTCCCTGTGTAGTTTCCTATTTTGGACGCTTAATACAAATCGAATCATACAATATGTGGTCTTGTGTCTTCTTTCACTTAGCATAATATTTTTAGGTTCATCTATGTTCTAGAATAAATCATGTCTTCATTCTTTTTATGGCTGAATCATATTCAAGTGTGTAAATATACAATATTTTGTTTATCCATTCATCAGACGTTTGAGGGAATTTTTGACTTTGGTTTGTCACTGCAACTTTTTTACCTAAGGACAAATGGTTGTTTCTGTAGCAGTGGAACTATATACACCAGCTTCTAAGCCAAGCTTGTCCAACCCATGGCCCTCTGGCCACATGTGCCCCGGATGGCTTTCATTCAGCCCAAAACAAATATATAAACTTTCTTAAAAGATTATGAGTTTTTTGTGATTTTTATTTTTAGCTCATTAGCTATTATTAGTGTCAGTGTATTTTATGTGTGGCCCAAGACAATTCTTCCTCCAGTGTGGCTCAGGGAAGCCAAAAGATTGAGTGCTCCTGCCTAAGCAAAACAACATAGTACTTAGCAAACTTGAATAGGATGTACAGGTTCAGGAAAGGCACAGGGAACTAGGTAGATAATGGGAACCAGACAAGTGCTAACAAAGTTGGTGGCCTGCGAGGATACTAACAAGCAAACTTTGGGCTCCAGTGGGTCCAGACAACCTTATGTAGCCTAACGGTCCTAGTGAAGCTTGACCTCAAACTATATAGATGCAGTGGGTCTGGTATTACAGGCTAATTTGCACACATTTGCTTGAATTTATGTAATAAAGATTGCTTCTTTTAACAAAATAACTGAGCTTTTCATATTCTTCTGAAACTAGCGAGGTTCTAGCTATATATTGTTAGGATCAGAACTAGCTTGATAGTCCTAGACCAGTTGCCAAATTCCATTCTGCATCCAGGGCCAAGGAAAGATTGTTAGTGGACTTTTTGTGTCTTTTCCAGAGACTGAAAAGTCACGCCCAATAGCTAGTATCAAGTCAGCTGTGGTCTGGTTTAATATAGTATATGTGAGAAGATTCCCCAGGAGATAACTCAAGTGTCTTCAGGTCAAGGAAATTTATAGCAAGAGGCAGTGGAAGAGTGTGGCATAGGATTACAGATGCTGTGTCACTAGATGTAACCCACCCTCAATTCTGCACTCCGAAATGAAAATAAAATTGAAGAAGTTTAGAATATATTAACTGAAAAACAAATGCACCTCACACAAGCCCTGGTGACTGGAAATGCTATTATTGCAAATTTCTGACTTTACTATAAAGTCTCAATACCTTAAATGCTACTTTCACAGAAAGGAGATGTTAGGAGAATATGGTAAATACATAATGCCAAAATCAGCTTCTATTGAGAATTTTTTTCCAATTGAGCTTACCACAGGACATAGATGAGCTAAAATTTGACACATATATAAGGATCTCAGGAATTAAGGCATTTAAAATATATGAGAAGTTAATAGTGAGCAGCTGGTGATATTGAAGTTCTCTGGAAATCCGTTCAAGTAGCAGATCTAGTTACTCATGCAAGCATTGGTAGAGCAATTGGTAACAAGTGACCAGCATTAGCCAAAAGTAACATCTTGTTAAAAAGCATCTCCTTAGTTTTCCTATGAATTATAGGCAACTGAAATCAACTTTTTGACATCCTAGATGGTAGGAAATAGTGGGACACCAAGGGTTGAAGGGAGGCAGGATGTATTTGATTCAAAACACAAATGGTTTACTGAAAGGGGTCCTAGAAAAATGTTTTACATGGAGATAATTGCTCTAGGAGGCAGGAATTACCTTGTTTTCATAATTCTATTATTTGAGATCAATGTTATGTTTTTATCTCCCACAATTAAAAAAAACGAAACACATAGGAGAATGGAATTGAACTAATACAAATCTGAAAGCATCTAGGCTTTATCTAGTACACGAGAATTATTCTAGCTTAAATTGAGCAGCATGATACATTTAGGAGAATACTGCAATATTACTCACCATCACATAGTGTGAATGTCAGGCACTGCACTAACAATCTGATTTATATTCATTCATTTAATCCTCATACTAAAATCAAGAATAAAATTTTCTTCATTTTATTGAGAAAAGCAGAGAAGCATTTAATTTTTACCAATTAAGCAAATTTTATATCAATTAAGTGATAGAACAGATATTAAAACCCAGGTATCCTGACCCTGAAGTCCATGTTCTTCTTCACTGTACCATACTCCTTTCTCTAGGAGAAATTTCAAATTTAAATTTCTTTGGAATTGTTTCTCAATAGGAAAATTTTAAAAAAATTTCCATCTTTATTTCGAGTTGTAAAATGCAAGGGGGTTTAATATTTGAAATTTAATTCCTTGCTCAGAATTTGATATTGAAAAGTATGTTCAAATTTTAAAAATCTGTATATAATTTCCGTGTTTATTATTCTGCAGAACCTCTGATAGACTATGTTGGGAAACCTAGTTATGTCTAGTTTGGATAGAAAGATTATAGAAATTAAGCTTTGTGTACAGAATAGATTTTGACTTCATCAATTGGTGTATTTTTCGGAAGCATTTTAGTTCCTCATAGGAACAAAATTTCATATTTCCCACTGATAAACTCAGGAAAATACCCAAAGAACCATGTTTATTATTGGATGAGTGGTGTCATGAAGTATGAATATGACTTTCCCAACTGTTGACCTCTTCCTGTAAGTGGAATGTTTACACCTCTGATCGCCTATGGGCATGATGGGGGTAACTGGGAAAAAGTGTATTACTAAGGTTTAGTCTCCTATGGAGAATCACCAATACTTATAACACTGGCCTCCTTCCAGGCCTTCAGTCACTCCTATCTTTTGCGAAAAGGAGGCATGCACCTTACTTATGAGTTAGATATAAGGAGTTTGGCATGCTCATCCTACTTCTCTTCTTTTTGCAAGTTGTCTGTTTAGAACTACCTCCCCCTTAACCCATTTATGCCTGAGGTTGCAATTTTTTGAATTTTTACATGAGTGAAAAATCAAACCTTGGTGATGACCCTGAGCAGTAGGATATAAATAACTCCCACATGCTTAGCATTCCAATAATGAAACACTGGGCATAAGTGGGTTAATTGCTCCATGTTTCCAGGTCTTCCTGGGCCTGCACCATTGACTAGGGAAGCCTAATTTTGAGATTCAGCATTAGTATTAGTACATCCTTGCCTGTAAAGGAAAGCTACACCCTCAGTTATCAGTTTTACCTGTAAGAAGCACAATATTTTGACCTATTTGTATTAATATTAATACATGCATTTACATATTTTAACAATAAACTCAAACTTGAATGGAGAAGGAGGATGTTATTTATTGGATCATCTCGAACTCTTTATAGTAATCAAACTAAATAGTGAGCATGATTCTTAGTATCTGCCTTAGTTCAGCTGCTGTAACAAGGTATCATAGACTGTGTGGCTTATAAAGAACAGAAACTTATGTATCACAGTTCTGGAGGCTGGAAGTTCAAGATCAGGGTATCAGCATGATCAGGTTCTGGTAAGGGACATTTTCCAGGTTGCAAACTGCTATCCTCTCCCTGTGTCCTTACATACTGGAAGGTGCTGGAGAGCTCTTAGGTCACTTTCATAAAGGCACTCATCCCATTCATGAGGGAGGTAATTCATAACCTAATCACTTCCAAAAGGCTCCACCTCCTAAATGCCATTACATTGGAGATTAGGATTTAAACCCAAAGGATACATTCTGAGAAGAAACAAACATTCAGTCTATTGCAGCATCATTTGTGTTGGTATCATTGGTATAGTTGTTTATCATCATCATCTCAGCTGGAACCTTTCATCCCAATCTGTTTCCTTTTCATTTTAGCCCATTCATTCCTCATAAATCATCTTTTGATTTCATGAACTTCTCATATATTTCTCGTATTTTCACAGAATTAGCTTCATGAATAATGGTTTACAGAATGTTCTTATCTTTTATTTACAGTAATCTATACCAATGGTACCCTTTTACTTCTGAAACCTCATGTTCTTTTTCCATTATTTTTATATTTATAATAAAGCCTGAACTTTGTTTTTGTTATAATCTTTGAGCAGTGTCAGTTTTATCTATCACCGGTGTTTGTCTTAGAATATGCAGACTGTGTTTAGCTCTGACCTAAAAGTAGAAGATGAGGTGATGTGAGAATTTCCGGTGTAATTTCTAAGGAATTATTGGGAAGGAAAATTTGATGTGGCTCAGTTGGATTTGTATGGTGTTGTCACCACTCCAGAGAAACAGGATGGACCCCCATCCCAAATTTGCTTTGTGTCTAGACTGTTGATGCCACACTTGCAACAAGAGGATATAAAAAGACTTAACATTCACATAAAAAGGCTTTCTAGTGCAAGCAGGAAGCCCTCAAACAGATCTGAAAATGACTTGAGAGCTAGAAAATGCCCCATCCTTAGGCTCAAAATTTTTATTGTGGTTAGGGGGTTGGTCTTGGGTAAAGGTTCCCACACAAGGAAAAGGGATTATGTGATATGAACCTCCCTCTGGAGACAAGGGAGGGAGTGCCAGGGTTTGTTTTTTTTTTTTTTTTTTTAATCAGCTTGCCCAGATACGGGGCAGAAGGGAAAAAGAAAGGATAAGGCTTTAAAACTGTCAGTAGTTGGGCATCAAAAAAATGCAGCCAGACTTTTTAACCAATGGGATTTTCCACTGTTTCCATGTCCTAACTTTTGCATGGTAGATGTTCATCTTGCATACTCTAAAAGAGAAAGTAATTTTACTGTTTATTTAAGCATAATCCATGCAAGGTTATACTGATGAGATTCAAAAGCTGTCATCATCAAAACAACAGTCGAAAAAAAGCACTGGGTGAGGTGGAATTTTTGGACAGAAGTTATGCTTAAAACTCTTATTTTGTGGGAAGGAAGAGAGATATGGAATAGCCTAGGACTCATGTTCAAGATACATAAAATAAATTTGTTAAAATGTAAGAATAATCACTAAACAATAGAAATAGCATGCATAACTTTCAAATCAACCTGGAGAAGAAAAATGAATTAAGAAAGTCAGTCAGGGAAACTGGAGGAAAAGTAGGAGGGAAAAAAGATAAATGGAGAATATAAATAAGATGACAGAAAAATAACAGGTTTATGCAGAAAAAAATCCCACACTTTTATTGTAATTTTATCTGTAAATAAGCAAAATCTACTCAAAGGAGAAATTTGTACTTATGTTGACAGGGAGACATGTCCAATGTTACTGACTGCATCGTTGTTTGTAATAGCTGAACACTCTAACAAACTTAAATGCCCGTAAGTGTGGAAATGGATCAATAAATTACAGTATATGCATACCATGAAATACTGTGCAACAATTAAAATTAACAAGATCTACATGTATAAATTAGATAGATTCCAGAAATAATGAAGAGTAAGAAAATAAACAGCTAGTAGAATGATGCATACATTATTGCCACTCTTAATTAGTTTTAATTAAGAGTTAATTTAAAAACCATAAATACTATATAGCTTTTAATGGATAGACTATGTGTCCTAGAAGTATAAAAAATACAAGCAGGAATAATGCACACAAACTTCAGGATAATAGTTATCTCTGGGAAGAAGGAAATTAGAAAATTCTTTGACAGGATTCCTAATATTTGGGGTTTTATTTTGCATTTTTAATAACCAGAAGCAAATACGGCAGCAGGTTAAAATAATTTGTACATGGATGTTTTCATATGTTACTGTCTATTTTTTTACCCACAAGAAAACATTACATACTTAACCTTGTATAAATCTAAGATATTTCCTATAACACAAAAATATTTTTTAAAATGTCAACAGGATGATAAAATTAAGGCAAGAAAAGTGGTGGTAAAGAGCTACTGGGGAAGGATATACAGGAAGTGAAGTTAAAAGGGGGCAGCATGTGGTGCCCTGGCCTTTATTACATGTGAAGGAATGGATCCAAGGAACTGGAAGAATTGGACTTCCATTGTAATGAGTGGAACTGAAAAGAAAAAGGGAATAGGAAGAGGCAGACATATAGACTTGGGTCATTTGTAGAATGAGAAGTTTCCCATCCAATGTGTTCTATTTTCTAGATAAATCTGAAGCTCAGGTTGACTACTTGAAGATTGAGAAAGGTAACAGAACATGGAGGTCAAGGTGGTTAGAAATTTGAAGACAAGAGAGGGAGTTTGAAATGGTTGCTGGGGGCAATGAGAGTGAGAACTGAATGGGTAAATAAGCAGTTATGTTTGTATGGTGCACATGAGTCTAACCCTCTATTTTTAGCATTCCCAGTTGACCTGGGTATAATTTGCTGAGCTGTTATCAGCAGCCCAGAGTTGGACATAGAACTGTACAAATTTCTACAGTTAGAGTCAATCACAGTTGAGACTCTGCCAGCCACATATGATAATCACAAGTTAGTTTAGCATATTGACAAGAAAATAGCTAAAGTAATAGATCAAGGCACTTAATCTGGATAGAGAGGAAACTAAAAATGTAAGAGGGAGGACAGAAAGACAATAGTAAAACAGAAAAATATAAATTAAAAAGAATTTTCACAATCTCTCTACTGAACAACCACTATTACACTTTGGTGTATTTCCTCTGAGTCCTTGAAAGTTATATATATATATGTGTGTGTGTATATATATATATATATATATATATGTGTATATATATATATGTGTATATATATGTGTATATATATGTATATATGTATATATATGTATATATGTGTGTATATATGTGTGTGTGTATATATGAAGGTTAGTTATATATATATGTGTATATATATATACGTATATATGTGTATATATATACGTATATATATGTATATATATGTATATATGTGTGTATATATATGTGTGTGTGTATATATGAAGGTTATTTATATATATGTGTGTATATATATGAAGAGAAAGACACAGATACATGTATGTGTACATATATACAAATACATATACACATACATACTCACATATGTACCAAATACACGTTTATTTTGTAAGCAAAAAAGAATATTATACTATAGCTAATACTTTATACCTTCTAAAATTGTATGTGACTATTCTTCCAAATTGATAAATATTCAACTAGCATTGATTTAATGAACATATAATATTGCATTTGAGGGAAGCAATCGATGGCATTGTTAAATTATCAATAATAAAAATAATCTAAATTATCTAATGCATTTATGTTATCAGTTGTTTGCTATGATTAAATACTGTTTTAATAATCAATTTGAGGTTCATTCTTTCATATATCTGAATTACTTTCTTAGAATACATTTCTAAATGCAGAATTATATCAAAGAGTTAGCACATCTTAACTACAAGTTGTGCTCTAGGAAGTTTTTACGAAAGTATAAACACACACACATATATATATTTGGTATTTTCAAATATATATATATATATATTTGATAAATTGCCTTTGAAAATTCTTCTTTAGGACTCTCTAGGAGAGAAAGGTTTATAGTACCTCAGAGTACAAGTGCTGGGACCAATAAGTGACTTTTTCTCTATTCCTTCAGAAACAGAGTCAGATATCAAAAGGAAAAATGAACACTGAACTTACACTTAATTCAGTTCCAAAATTCCAGTCTATTAAACATCCTGAGACTCAACACAACAAGGAACAATCAGTTCACATTTCCTCCCTTGGTTCAATTCTTTATTTTTGAGAATGATAACAATATTCTTTCTGCTACCCAAGTCAATCACTATATAGTTATTTTCCCTCCTGCCTGTCAACATCTAGCCAGTTTTCCTGAGCACACAAGCCATTCATCTAGCAAAAGTATATTGGGCTGACCATGCATGCAACAAGCATTTTTGCAAGGTTTGGGAAATAACGAGATGTTCAATTATACAAAATGTATACTCTCTCTTCTTCAATATTTCTACAGAATTTATTATGTGTACTGCTCTTTGAACCTTAAAACACACAAGCTGTGGCAGGTAGATCAGGTTTCCCAGAAAACAGAGTCCAAGCTGCAGGTTTGTGTGCAGGTGGTTTATTGGGGAGTGCTCTCAGGAAAAACAAGTATCACCAAGGGAGGAAAGTAAGATTGGGCACAGGGCTATGTTGAATGGTGATGCATTGCAACAGGGACAGTAGCCAGTCCCACAGAGAGAGCTCTATAGCTAGAATAGACCTTCAGAGCTGTACTCAATGGAGGCAAGGGGGCTGGGACTCTGCATCTCCCCATAGAGCAGTCATTGAATTTATATTGCCCCTAGAGAGACAGAGTAACTTTGAACAAGGCAACTACCTTAGGCCAAGGACAATTCTTGTGGAATATTCATCTGTGAGTATTCAGAGGGCAACACTCTTGAGAAATGGATACCTAGGCCCTAAAGAGGCAGAATCTGAGAAGCCATGCTAACTTGGATTAGTGAGCTGAGCTCTGGTTCTTGGAGAGAATCAGGAAGAACAGCTATTAGGTGTGGGCTTAATACCTGGGCGATGGGTTGATCTGTGAAGCAAACTACCATGGCACACATTTACTTATGTAACAAACCTGTGCATCCTGCACATGTACCTGGAACTTAAAATAAAAATTGATTTTAAATAATGCTTTGGGCTCAAACTATAAAAAGAGACCACCATATATACATATATAAAGAACTGGCTTATATGTGAGGCTTATATCATCAATAGAATTGTAAACTCTTGACAACTACAGAAGGTATGTTAAACTTCTCCTGTTTATTCATAAGTCCAGCATAATGTTTCATAAGTATTAGGTGCTCAATAATACCTGCTGTTTAATTTGACAAAATCCTGCCTCTTAGTTTTATGAAGCACCACCTGTCCCCACATTCACTTTCTCACCTATAGCTGCCATATTAGTCTAAGCATTCATAATTTCTTGCCTTGACTATTGCTTAAATCATATAAATAATTCTTACATTTTACCTCTTTGATAAAATCTCTCTGGTATAACAGCAATATGGTGGACCGTATCTTTGTGGTTAATCAGTGTGGTTACTGAACTTTAAACATAATATCTTATAGTGAAGCCGTGTATTAAATATGAACTTTCTCCTCTTGTATGACCTATATATTTACATGGTTTGGTTTTATGCATCTGATGCAAGACCTGTGTTCGCTAACCTTCTTTGTTTAGCACTGATGTACAAACATGTTTTCTTCTAGATGAATAGTTTACAATGTGCTTCTGTAAAGTCTCAGGGTAAAAGCTGAGAGAGACCAGATAAAGCTGAAGCAACAGATATTAGAGGCAACAACCATACAAGTATTCTGGCCCAAGTCTGATCACAGGCATGGCCCTTAGGGACCAACCCTACTGCTTTCCTATAATTTTCATCTTAAAATCCTAGTTCTTCAGCTTTTCTCCCCAAATATCAGAAGTCACAGCTGTGTCAGGTCTCTGTTAATAGGGAAGATGATATTTAGAAAACCCAAAGAGGGGTACATGAGCTACCATCCAGGAGGCAGATGAGTCAGGGTACATGTGGAATCCAATGTACACTCTGACTTGACTCTGCAAAAATTCAAAATTTTATCCATTTCTCTATGCTCCAAGCATTTATATGTTTGGAGACACAGCATATAAATTTTCCATCATCTGATCAAATAAAATTGCTAAATTCATTGTATTTGTTTCTGTCTTTCTCTCATTTTATCTTCCTCCATTCATTCTTTTAAGATACTCCTTGCCTGTTATGAACCAGACACCACATCAATTGCAATACAATCAACATCTCAATGTTGATATCTATCCTTATTCATGATTATTCCAGTTATACAGTAATTGAGGCTCAAAGAGATTTTGGGTTTTACCAAAGGTCACATTTCTAGTAAGTTAAAGAAGTGAAAAAGTATGGAATAGTTCATACTTTTGCCAGTGCCCCATCCTGTCTGTCCACAGACATCTGGAAGGGAAATTATCTTTGTGGTCCAAAAATATAAATGAAGTATGTGCCCAGTTGTTTGGCACTGCTTTAGATCTGCCCACTGTAGAATCTGCCTGCTCCATCAGGATAGAGGCCTGCTAAGTGTGTGTCCTTGGGTTGGCGGGTGAGAAAGAGGAAGCCCTATCTGGAACAAAGCAACGTAATAACAATGTCAGACATGAATTGCACCTTACACATGTTCCATTATAGATATCTGCCACAGACGATGCTGACTTCTTTAAAAATATCACAAGTGGGTGACCGCTATTATACAAAGCTCTGTGAAATGGAATGACTAATCTATAAACATAAGCATGAGATTGAATAAAATATATATAAAGAAATATATGTGATATTAATTTAGCATAGACAGTACCATATCCCATAGAACTTCTTGCACAATGCAGTGACACACCACTGTGTTATTAATGCTTTGGAAAAATTTATTTATTCTATTCCATTAGTGTATTTTAACAAACATTGCTCTGGGACAGTATGCCTGCCAATTTATGTTTATGAGACTGTCAACATAATTTACATGCAGACAAAAATATGATACAATATTGCCAATGCAGAATCGCCTTGTCAAATGATATTGTCACAAAAAAATGAAACAGTACCCCAGCTGAGGAACCAAGCATATTCATCACTGTTCGCTGCACAGAATTTGAGGTGACACACTGAAATACATTTAATGCCTTTTTTTCATGCATCAAATGAATAAAAAGTGAATGAATGAGGTACTTCTGACTGCCATATACTGTGCAAAAGCAAATAGATTTCTTATTTCCCTCAGAAAAAAAAATAAAAATAATACATGGGTTCCCGAAATAGTTGACAGAATTATATTTATTATTCATTTGGAAAACTGAGTATGCTACAAAAATCACGAATGGTTCTAAAGTGTTTGGCTGCAATGATTGAGACTGTCATGAAAGGAGATGATGGCAAACTAAGAGTTCCTAATCCACCCAGGATGAAGAACAGGTGCAGTGTGGAACAATGGTAGTTGTTTGGCCTAGGACCTTGGGCTAAATAATACAAGAGATTTTAATAAGACTGCTTTTTCTAGAAGGTGAATAATTAGATATATGGACTTGTCTTTTCTCCACTTTGACTACTCCAACTCTAAGGGCATGGTTTCTGGACACTGGTAGGTTCAAGTCCTGGTTCGAGCTGTACATAACTGAGCTTCAGTAGTATGTGAATGCTTCAGTGAAAAGGTTTTCCAATTTTCCCTTTGCTGATGGCTTGTAAGCTCCAGAGATTTCACTGGCCAGGAGAACACCCAGCTTGGTTCCAGGGAGGCCATCTGGGAAGAACACAGAGCTTTACCAGTCTTGAAGGATTTGTTCTCCAGGTACTACCTTTGCTCACTGATGAAAGGCCCTCTGTGCTGGAGGTGTCTTCCTTGCTGTGGGCCATATCATCAAAGGTGAGGCAAGTATACCTGTGGCCTGTCTGCCACAAGCATGCTTGGTACAAAGGGACCAAGCACCCTTGTTCTCGCCATAGTCCCTGTCTCATAGGAATTCCTAAAGTAAGAGCATAATGGCTCTAGTAAACTTCCTGTTGTTAGAACATATGTGCCTAGAAACTATGTTTTTAAGAGGAGAAAAAAGAAATATCCTGGGTTCAGAAACAATGAAAGGAGTTCACATTCAATGTTCACAATCTGCACGGTGCTGGATTAGCAGCAAATTAAGGATCCTGAGTTCTTTCCTGAAACTTTAGTTTAACAAACAGAAATGTTATGAGTAACAAAAGAAGACTGGAGGAACGCTTTGTGTAGGGGTAAGGAAAACATGCATAATTGGAGTCTGAAGCCCTACTCTGCTACATACTCCACAAAAGACACTCTGATCCTTAGTTTCTTCATACATAGAATAGGACTAATAATTACCTCGCAGCTTTGTTGTGACAATTAAATAGGAAATTGTCGACTCACATGAAATGCCTAATGTTCAGCCATTTTCTATGTACAAAAAATAAAAAACTGGCAATAGTATGTAATTCACCTAGCATGATCCCAAGCATATAATAAATGCTTACTGGATACAGGTTTACTAAACATAACATGTTAAAAGTTGAAGAAGCTATGCAAAAGAAAAAAGTTAATGCATTAATATATTACTACTACTGCTGCTACCACTATTACTACTACTAGCCTGCTGGTCTTCGTCAATGATATTTGAAATGGAATCTTAAATATAACATTCCAAATGTCTCAGTACCATGTAAGGCATGTGATGAAACATGAGATAGTCTACCTCAATATGGATTTAAATTTCTGTAGCACATATATAGAACCTTGCCTATTTATCTTTAGGTTCCATGAACATAAGGATTCCTATGAGAAAACATTTTTCCTGAAATTGACCTCTACTTCAAGACATTGAAAACCCTGTTTAAGCTGACACCTCCCATTAGGTAGAATGGAACTTGTCATTTTGCATTTTACACTCTCATTGACAGTATTGTCCAAACAGCAGCTGGCTTCTGCAATTGACACTAGAATTTTACTGCGAATTAATAGCTGGACAGAATAAATGATGGCAGGATGATGTGGGTGCCTAACACACCATTAGAGGTGAAGGGACAGACAGAGCTTCTGAGAGTGAGAGTTCTGAAGCCCAAATGCATATCCAATTCATTAGTTAAGGGGGAGAGGAAAAGGGCAGAGCATGAAGAAGGAAAGTAATGAAAGAAAGAGGCACTGAGACAGGGAGTAGATAAAGGAAGGAATGATAATATAATGGAGAAAAATTACTGTAGAAAAATAGGATGATGCATCGTTAAGAGTCGCCCACACCTGCTGGGTCTGAGAGAGGAAAGTGTTTGCATTAGGCACCAATTGGAATGAATTATATGACACTTTTTCTTTGGCCAGACAAATTTCTTTCTGACCCCAGCTGGTGATCAGATGGTGCCCTGGAGAATGAAGATGACTATCTCTTGTCATTTTGATCTCTGCATTGAATATTACCATTTCTATCCTTACCAAAGATTTAAATCCATTTTAAAGAAACTGTACTAATCATCTTATCTGAATAATAACTTGTAGCCTAATGTATATGGGATATTTTGGGGTGACAAAGGCAGAATTTAAAACAAAGAAAAAATACTCTTTCATGCCCCACTGGCATGACAAATTAAATTATATTTTATCTTGTTTTAATTGCATGGAGTGATACACATATTGGTCAAAACCACTACTGAATTTGATAAATCATTGAGTCTGGAATTTTTCACTAAAAATGCAAATAGATTCAGATGATTTGCTCCAAGCATATTTGCACCTAAATCAGAAAATTTATAGTCTCCAGAAAGACCATTGAAATGTAGAGTCAGATATAAGCTCAGCTGAAATAATTTTAGCATCAGATGCTAAGAGCCAAATAAACTATGTAAAATAATATGAACTTTTTAAAGCCAATGCAAATATGTCAAGACTAAAAAATGTCTCTGAGTGAGAGAACTTTCACACAGCCTTCACTATATCAGTCAATGGCCTTAAATTGTGGCTTTCTATATTATCTGGAGCTCTGGCCTTAGAGCAGAAAGTGGAATCACAAATGAGATACACATTTCATTGTGGTCCTACCTACCATTATATTGACGACTACAATCAGTGTGTTCCTAAAAGGTACTATTGCACTATTGGTGGGTGGCTCAGATGAGAGTTTTGACACACAGACCAAAATGAGTTTATATAGAGATTTACATAAAATCTATGCTATAAAATTTCTTTTAAAATAAATTTATGTAAATATAAATTATTTAAAGAAAAATATTAAATTTATTGCATGTTAATATGTCAAAGTATGTCAAAAATTGTGTGAAAATTGTGACTTTGGTCTCTGAATGATTAAAGTTTGCCAAACAGGAGTTTAGATGAAGGCAGAAGTGGCTGTTGGCCAAATCTCCAGATGGTTCAAATCTAAGAGGGATGGAGCCAAAGTCTGATAAGGGAGCCCTGATGGAGGGGGGGAGCACTAGGCTGAAATTAACAAGAATAAATTAAAATAGTATAAATGCAATTTTTTATATTTTAGCTAAGAAACAACATCAGAACAAGGATGAGGTCATGGGGCCTCTCTTTACTACAGTTTATATGAAAATAATGTATTAATATTATAAAGGTCTTGTCATCGTGCTGGTCTTCACAGTGTATAAATTTTATTTGTCTAACTTTCTACTTTCACCTTTTGTCAGTATAGCTCAATACGAGTCAGAGTCAAGAACTTCCTGGAAGCATAATTTAGGATCTAAATAGAAGAACATAATGGAGAGAAGGGCAGTGTTTGTCCTATTCCAAAAAGAGAGACAGGAAAATAAAATCAAGCCCTGTCGTTTCAATCATATGTTTGATATTGGCGGTAAGAGAAAATAAAATGTTTTTAGTTCCCCAACCTTTCATAACATGGAATCTTCTTTTCTCCTATACTTCTCTCTCTTTTTGTCTGTGTAATCTTGAAATTTATAAATATGTCATTTTTAATATATCATTGATTTGACAATGTTTTTTAAAGTTTAGACTTAGTTTTATAACTAGTTATAAAATATTTTTACTTTTATTTGAAATGGGTTTTCTTCCACCTCTTTGTAACATCTGCATTTCTTACTTTTGGCTTCTATGTCTTCTTCATCTCCTTATCAGAAGGCTATATCTTCAAGAGCATGGGTATGTACACACAGACACCTTTATGTTTTGAGTGTACTTGGCTGATAGAAGATCTGAGCCTTTGCATATCTAAAAATGTTTTCCTATACCTTTCTACATAAAACAAAAATCAAGGAGTCTGGATAAAATAATCTCAATTTACAAAAATGTTTCTTCAAAATCCTATCAATTCTCATCTATTATCTGACTGTTGGTGTTAAAGAGCAAAAATTCAATAATTTCATTACTTTAAGACACTATATTTCTAGTTTTGTCTTTTCCCCGCTAATGAATTCAAATTTTTGTTAGTAAGTTTGTAGGTATTTTATTTAGCTGATCATGCCTGTAATGTTGTGAGACTCTTCAATCTACGTAGGTCTTTCTTCAGTTGAAAAAAATATGTTTGTATTTTCCCCTCCCTGCTACCTGTTTGGTAATTAATTAGTCTTGTGTTGCCATTCCCTGCCCACTATGTTTTTTTTTTTAATTTTGTTACCCTATGGCTTTGCATTTTGAGATTTATTTATTTATTTATTTATTTATTGATGGAGTCTCACTGTCACCCAGGCTGGAGTGCAGTGATGCGATCTTTGCTCACTGCAACCTCCGCCTCCCAGGTTCAAGCCATTCTGGTGCCCCAGCCTCCTGAGAAGCTGGGATTACCGGTGTGTGCCATCATGCCAGGCTAATTTTTGTATTTCTTTTTTCAGTAGTGATGAGGTTTTACCATGTTGGCCAGGCAGGTCTCGAACTCCTGACCTCAAGTGATCTGCCCGCCTCAGCCTCCCAAAGTGCTGGGATTACAGGCGTGAGCCACCATGCCAAGCCAATTTTGAGATATCTAAATTGTTTTTCTACATGACAGATTAAATTGCTGCATCATCACACCTACCTCCTCTGCCTCATCACCCTCTTTGTGCTCTTAGACTTCCTGAGAACTTCCCTCATCTCTCTTTTCATAAGATGTTACCTGTTACCTCTCCAGCACGTCACATTACTACCTCTCCTTATAGTTTTAATTTCTATTTTATAAAGAATACTCTCGCACTCTAAGGAGAAAGACAGTTTCCTACAATTTTCTTCTGGAACTTAGAATACAATATTTTCAGAAATCTCCCCTAGCTTCTCCTGTGTCTGAAGTTGTTTATTTTGGCTGCATAAAGAATCTTCCTCACCCACACAATTCCTCCTCTTCTCATCCTTGAGCCAGTTAAGAATAATTCACAGCCATTATTTGTCAACAGAATATGCAGCTTGTCTCCTTTCACCAAATTTATCATTGCCTATTCTCTATCAAGGGAAAGGAACTACTACCATTGCAACTGTATTAAAATGTTTAAAAAAAATTAGAAAAAATTAAAAACACTTACAGATTGTATTAGTCCATTTTTTAAACTGCTATAAAGAACTGCCCAAGACTGGGTAATTTATAAATGAAAGAGGTTTAATTGACTCACAGTTCAGCATGGCTGGCGAGGCCTCAGGAAAGTTACAATCACGGCAGAAGGCTGAACGGGAAACAAGACACCTTCTTCGCAAGGTGAAAGGAGGAAGTGCCAAGCAAAGGGAGATAGCCCCTTATAAAACTATCAGATCTCATGAGAACTCACTCACTATCACGAGAACAGCGTGGAGGAAACTGCCCCCATGATTCAATTACCTCCACCTGGTCGCTCCCTTGACACCTGGGGATTATGGGGATTACAATTCAAGATGAGACTCAGGTGGGAACACAAAGCCTAACCATATCAAGGATCAACCTTGATACATCTTTCTTGCTATATTCTGGTACATTAGCAAGTCCTGTGGGTTTAACCCTGTAAATATATCATTAATATCTTCATTTCTGTCCTGCTATCATATTAGTCTAAGGCACTATGATTTCTTATTTGAACTCTCTAGATAGCCTCCTAATTTGTTTTTCTATATCTACTCTTCTCTTGCGCAGAACGACCTTTTAAAACTGCAAATGAACTTATGGCTCCCCAGGTGAAAATTCTTCAAGAACTTGCCATCGTTCTTAGGATGAAAAATCAATTAACTTCACATCATCTACAGGATTCTTTATATTCTAGCACTTGCTTCCATCACCAGACCCATCTGGTGCTCTCCCGGTCCGAGCTTTTCCCAGGCTCCTAAACAGAACCTGTTCCTTTCTGCCACAAGATCTTTGCATTTAGAGTTTCTTCTGCCAGGAAGCTCCCTACCTCCACCCTATGCAAAACACCTTGTTAACACACAAACTCCAGTCTGTCAGTTCAAATGACATCCTTTGGGGAAGACTTCCTTGAGATTCCACATAAGAATTAATGCCCCTCTTACCTATTCCTAGACTACACTCTCATTTTCCTTTATAGTACATTTCACAGTGTCAACTATACTTCTGCCATTATTTCACTGTCAGTGTCTTTCATCTCATTAAAAACTCTATGCCATAGTGACTGTTTCTGTTTCAATCAACATTTGTTGAATTCATCATTGAATCTCTGTGTCCTCTTCTCAAAGATGCAGTTGGAAAACAGGTTAAAGTGCAGAATTCCTTATTCAATCCTATATTTCAAGTAGGCTTTTAGCAAATTCTTTCATTCTCTATTGAAATGGCAACTGATGTTTGAGAAATTGCAATTCCTACCATACATTAGAAACAAGGTTCTTCAGCCTTGCCCACCATGACTTCTATCTGAGGACTCATGTTCAGAATGTTGGCTCCACCAGGTTGCTGCCCCAAACCCTCCAGTCAATTTCGGATCTAGCTGAGATTTACATCAAAAGTCACCTCTCTGCTATTGATAAACTGGCCTCTTCAATTCACTGTATTATATCTCCCTGTTTTATTTTCTTCTTCATAACTAACAATTTATTGGTATTATTTGTCTGGCTCCTCCACAAATTTCTTTAGCATAAGGACCCTACCTCTGTTGTTTCCACTGCATTCAATCACAAAGTACAACTGGAAAAAACCAGACTAGAATAAGAGATATAGGATCATCATAACATCATCAACAAAACCTGGCTTAATTTGAAGCTGCTTTGCGCTCTCTTTGCTTTCCTCTAACCATGCTAATATTAAAAAGAGAAGCCCTTTTCTGATGCATTTATACCATCCTACACAGACCCAGACCATGGGCCCAGGCTAAGATATATTCATGGAATTATGTTTGCAAGGTGAAAAAAGTGTCAAGAAGTGGGAGACTTTCTCTGATCTATTCATTATTTTTCCCTTCAAGGCACCAGGGGAGCCAGAAGAGCAGAAGAGGTGACAGCTGACCAGAAAGAGACTGGCTCTGCAGCCTGGGCAACCTGTCATGGAAAGGTACTGCAGCTGCAGGCCTCAGAGCTGTCCAGAATTACTCTCATGAACATGTTTGGGAAAGAAGTTATGAAGTAGAGGCAAGAGTGTGTTACAGGTAGGAGTCTTTTTAGGGGAGCAATAGGATTGTCCTCTTCTTAGAAATAGATTTTTTTGGCCATGATCCCTTCTTTCTCCTACCAGAACTGCTTAATCCCATTGCCTGAGCCTTCCAGCCTGGAGATTATCCATCATGTGACTAAGAATGAGATGACACCTGTACAGATACACGATTTGCCTCTCAGCTGTTTAGCTGTTTCTATAAGAAGCCTGAGCCGTTAAGGTACTCTCAGGGCAGGAATGACCTAGAAGAGATGGAATATAAGCTCAAGACAATAAGATGGGGGCCTGGTCAAACACCCTTCCTTATGTGAACTAGGAATCTTGGTTATAGCCCATGTTTTTCCTTCTTCTCCAAACCCAGGTGATGATTTTGGTTTAAGAGCCTCATCTATGAGAAATTCCATATCAAAATTATTGCAGGGAGAATAGACCTCTTCCATTATCTAGAACAAAAGTTAGTATTTTCCCCTATGTCTTCTCTTTTCTTTCTTCTGTACTTCCTATTACTTTTGGTGCTGTAGAAAAATTTCTCTGTCCAAAAAGACGTGAAATATTTCAGACATATTTTACCAAGGGTGTGTGTAGCACACATCAACTTGCTTGAGCTTCTCTGATATATAGCCAATGTTTTAATGTTCCCATTTAGCCAATCCATAATACATCTTCACAGTGTTGGCCTAATCACAAATGACAAGGGTGGAAAATGTAATAAAGACAGGGGCACATTAATCTACTTTGTATGAAAATGTGGAAAGGTAATCCAATTTTGAACTGCTTGCTCTTACAAAATATACATAAGTTTGTATGATTTCTGCATCTTAGTTGGGGAGATGGTAGTCAATCCTAAAGAGTTATATTTCAGGTAAAGAGTCCTCAGTCCCTTACATGTATGCACAGAGGTAGTGGCCCATACTGAGAAATAAAGATGGGGACTCTGGGGAATGAGTTGCCTGATGGTCTATTGGAAGCCTCTATATCTGGCAATATTCAGGGGTGTTCATTCCTGTAGGTCTTAGAGAGAGATTCCAATATTAGGGATGCTGTTGTGTCTTCCCCTGCATAGCCCCTAAGGCTAGTTCATATGAAAAGTAAATCTGACTCTGCTCCCTAAAAACAAAGATGAAAAATCCATAGAAGGGAGGTAGATTCAGCTAGAAAGTGTATTTCTAGCAGGGGAGTTGGTGTGAGGGAGAGAATAGTTATGATGAAGTCAGGCTTGTCTTAAACCACATCTGATGTCATTCCAATCACTGTGTGTGTCTGCACTTGTGGGTTGTCTGCATGGCATGCATGAATGTTGATGCATCTGCAGTGCTCTCACCCAGCAGAGAAGCATAGAGAAATGTGAGCTCTGGACTTAAAGAGCGCTGAGTGTTAATCTCACTTTCTATTTGCTCTGCGACATGACTAGCAGTCCAACTCCTCTGAATCCCAGTTTCTTTTTCAGTGAAACAGAGATTGTACTAGTTATCTCTTAGGATTAGTAGAAATACAGGACCCAGAAATTCTATTCTTAGATATCTACCCAAGATAAATACAAACAAAACATAGGCAAATGTGTACAAAAACTTGTACATGGATGTTCATAGCAACATTATTCACTATAGATAAAAGGTGGAAACAACCCAAATGTCTATCAACTGACAAATGCATAAACAAAATGTGGCTTATTATTGAAATAAACAATGGAAAATTATTCAGCCATTAAAAGGAATGAAGTACTGACGCATGCTACAGCATGAATTTGCCTTTAAAACATTATGCTAAGTGAAAGAATCTTGTCACAAAAGACCACATATATGATCCCTTTGTATGAAATGTCCAGAAAACAGAAAGATGTAGTGACAGAAATGAGATTCATGGTTGGCCTAAATTTTTTTCAGTAAAAGCAGCTTTCCTTCCTGTTTGAGGAGGATCGTTTCTTCTTTCTTGTGAACTTATACTGGTTTTCCTGCCATGTTCTTTCCTTACAAGGGCTTCTGATTCTCCTAAGGACATATCTCCACCACGGTTTTTCTCTTCCTCAGCTATAACCAGTATCACATCCTAGCAAGTGACTCCCAGAAGATGAGGTTCACAAAAGGACCTATAAAAAATTATAGTACACACCAAAATAATTGCATGATTTTTCCAATTTATATAAATAGAATCCATGTGTGTGGGAATAGATCCTAAGGCTGTTGGATAATGGTGAAAGGAATATATATAATATTGGACTGAGGATCTGGGAATAATCCTACTAGCTTGTTTGCTAGGTTGACTAAAAGCTGGACATGAAATTGACCTAAATTATGTTAAATGGAAATGCTAAAAATCCCCTGGCATATTGTAAAGGAAAATATCTATTGGCTTAAGAAAACTAGGATGCTAGAGTGGATGTTATTAAGTAAAAACATGCCTTGTTAGTATATCCCCTAGAGGACTCATTCTTCACTAATGCTATGAAAAATATATTGATGAGCAGTCCCCTTGCATCCTTGAAGAACTCTCTGATAGATCCATTAACTACATGAGGACTGACAGTGAAAATTATTGCCATTGAAATGAAGTTCCCCAAATCCACTGGGACTGATGGGCTCCAAGAGTAGCAGGGCCAAGTGATGGTACTTTATCACCAAGATCCAGGTGGTAGTGGGTGTTTTAACCAACTGCAGATCCAAAGCAGTGATCAGATTTATTTTTGGTTAAGTTGATAATGGTGTCCCTAGAACTGAAATCAATGGACAGACTATTAAAATCTTACTTGATATGTCTTAGTAAAACTCTCTAGGTCTGAGAAGCAAAAGTCTGACTTGAATGAGTACAAAATGGAGTCATGGCCCATCAACCAATTCCCAGTTTGGGGCCAATTCACGGGTGCATTACCTCTTGAATGAAGGGGCAGCTGAGCCCCATTGAGGAAAGACGCTGCCACATTGCCAAAATTTACACTACAAGTCTTTCTCTTAACCTTTCCCAAAAGAACTTGTGGCTTAGTTATTTACCAGGGGAAATTGCACTGGAGAAAAGAAACTAATCACACTTTTCAAAGATTACTGAAACAGGTATGAACTTACTTTAATTCCCAGATGCCCAGAATGCTGCTTTGGTCTACTAATCAGAATAGTGAGGAAGGTAGAATGATTAATGGAACTTCACTGAGTTCTGACTTACAGTGGACCCAATGGGTCACCAATCACACCCTGTGTTTATTTCCCCTGTTTTAGAGTACATAATTAGCATAGGTATATCTAGCATCTAGCAGAATCCCCACATTGGCTCTCTAACCTGTAGAATATGGGCTATTATTATAGGAAAAGTCAAGTGAAAATGATTATCACCATCTCCTCCTGCCAAAATAGTAAACCAAATTTAATACCACGTTCCTGGAGGAATTGCAGAGATTAATATCACTATCAAGGATTGAAAGATGCAGGAGCAGTGATGCCTTCTATGTCCCCACTCAACTTGCCTATGCAAAAGACCAATTGATCTTGGAGAATGACAGTGGATTATTGAAAATTTAATCTTGTGGTAACTTCAGCTGTGTATGTTGTTTTATTGTTGGAGCAAATCAACACATCCCCTGGTAACTTGTATGCAGCAGTTGATCTCATAAATGCTTTTTGTCTATACTAATTAGTAGAGGCCATCAAAAACAGTGACCTTTAGCTGATAAGGCCAACAATAAACTTTATTAGTCTGCCCAGGACTAACCTCCCAGCCCTATGTCATAATCTAGTCCTTAGAGTCTTTGATAGCCTTTCTCTTCCATAGTACATGATGCAGGTCTATTATATTATTACTAGGAGATGGTAGTATAGAGGGAATAAATGGTAGTTTTTCTCTGATCTCAGACCTGGCAGCTATTTTAGCTTCTAACATCAGAGTTTATCAGATTCTAACCACGTGAAGAATTACTAGCTTCACAGCTTTGGGCCAAGACACAGTCTTAATGAGACTTATTTTCCTTATACAGAAAAATGAAGATACTAACAGTCCTTCCCTCAGAGTAGCTGAGAAAATTAAATGAGATAATGAATGTGGATACCTAATAATTGCTAAGTAAATGTTGGTTATTTATCTTGGAAGTAGATGTGTTCCAGAAGATAGGAAATAAATCCTACAAAAATTTAGGAACCTGCCACCTCAAATGAAATTTCTAGGTGTCTAGTGGTCTGTGGTATATCAAGATATGCCTTCCAAGAAGAATAAGTTGTGCCTCCTGCCCCTCTTACCATTAATTAAGAACTACAACGCTTATGTGTCTTTTTGGATTTTGGAGGTCATATATACTTTGAGCATGCTATTCCATTCATCAAGCAACCTAAGAAGCTGCCAGGACAAAGGCCCAGAACAAGAAAGGCTCTGCAACAGGTATAGAGAGCCATGCAAGCTCCTCTGCCACTTAGTCCATGAGACCTGGAAGATCGTATAGCGCTTGAAGTGTCTGTGGCAGATAAGAATGCTGTAAAGAGTCTTTGTCAGACTTCTATATGTGAATCTTAGCACAGAGCCTTGGGATTTAGAAGCAAAGCTTTGCCATACACTGCAGATAAATGTTCTCCTTTTAAAAAGCAGCTTCAGGCTTGCTACTCACCCTTAGTGAGGACTGAATATTTAACCATGGGCCACTAAGTTACCATGCAATCTGAGTAACCCATCATGAACTTGATCTTTTCTGACCCACACAGTCATGAATGTAGGTATGCAGAGCAGCATTCGTTCATCAAATGGAAGTAGTATAAAGATTAGGCTTAAGCAGATCTTTGCTACCACTGGAGATACATTTACCCGGGATACAGATTTGCCTTTCTCACTACCTACAATGCTTCTTCCAAACTCACCATCCTTATTTGTCATTATGGCATCACACACAGCATTGCTTTTGACTGAGGAACTCATTTGAGACCAAATAAACTGTGGCATTGGCTCATTCTTATGAACTCCCTAAGAGTTACCTTATTCTTTATCACCCTGAAGTAGCTGACCCAAAGGAACAGTGGAGTGACTATATTTTTCTTAATTTTTTATTGTTATAAAATATAAAAAACAAGAAATTTACCATTTTAACCTTTTTTAACTATACGGTTTAGTGGTAATAAGTACATTCATATTATTGTGCAATCATCACCAAAAACCATCTCGAGAACTCTTTTCATCTTGCAAAACTGAAACACTATACCCATTAAACAATAACTCCCTATTCCATCCCACCCCAAAAAGCCCTACAACCATCATTCTATTTTCTCTCTATGATTTTGAGTATTCTAAGTACCTCATATTAATAGAATCATTCAGTATTTGTATTTTTGTGATTGGCTTATTTTATTTACAATAATGTCTTCAAAGTTAATCTATATTGTCAGAATATTTTTCATTTTAAAGCTGAATATAGTCCATTGGATGTATATATCACATTTGGTTTAGCCATTCATCTCTTGATGAATGCTTAGATTGCGTCTATCTTTTAGCTATTATGAAGAGACATCTAAAAATATCTTTTAGCAATCCCGCTTTCAATTCTTTTAGATAGCTATACCCAGGGCTGAATTGCTGTATCAGATGGCAATTCTATTTTTTAATTTTTTTGAGAAAACATAACACTGTTTTCCACACAGCTGTACCATTTTACTTTCCCACTAATGGTACACAAGGATTCCAGTTCATTCATATCTTCACCAATACTTGTTTTTTTTTGTTTGTTTTTTCAATAGTAGCCTTCCTCGTAGGTATGAGGTATGAGGTGGTATCTCATTGTAGTTCTGACTTGCCTTTTCCTAATAATTAGGGATGTTGAGTGTTTTTTCTTATGTTTATAGGCCATTTGCATAACTTCTTTGCAGAAATGTCTATTCAAGTTCTTTGCTCATTTTTTAATCAGGTTGTTTGTTTCTTGTTGAAAGCTAAAAGTTTTCTATATATTCTTAATATTAATCCCTTAGCAAATACATACTTAAAAATATTTTCTCATATAGTTTGCATTCTTACTTTGTTAACAGTGTCTTTTGACATACAATTTTTAAAATTTTTCATAAAATGTAACTCATCAATTTTTTTGGTTGTTTCATGTGCCTTTGTTGCCGTATCCAAGAAATCACTGCAAAATCTAACACTGTAAATCTATCATCCTATGTTTTCTTCTAAGAATTTTATAGATTTAAGTGTTACACTTAGGTCTTTGATCTATTTTGAGTTAATTTTTTTATACAGTGTTAAGTACAGGTCCAACTTCTATCTTTCGCATTAAGATATCCAGCTTTCCTAGAACCATTTGTTTAAAGATTCCCCTTTAACCACTGAATGGTCTTGCCACCTTTGTCAAAATTATTTTATCATATATATTAAGGTTTATTTCTGGGCTCTCTATTATGTTTCTTTGTGTATATGTCTGTTTTTATCCCAATATCACACTGTTTTGAGTACTGTAACTTTGTTGTAAGTGTGAGTTGTTTAGTTTTGTTCATTTTCAAGATTGTTTTGGCTATTTGACATTCATTGAGATTCCATATACATTATAGGATGGATTTTTCTATTCTGCAAAAAAAGTCATTGGAAATTTGATGGGAATCACATTGAATATGTAGGTTGCTTTGAATGATATTGATATCTTAACAATATTAAGTCTTCTTCCGATCCTTGAACATAAGGTGCATTTCCACTTATTTATGTATTCTTTAATTCTTTCAACAATGTATTATAGTTGTCATTGTACAGGTTTTCTATCCCCTTGTTTAAATTAATTCTGAATTATTTTATTCTTTTTGATGCTACTATATACGAAATAATTTTCTTAATTTTCTTTGCAGATTGTTCATTCTTTGTATGTAGGAATGCTACTAATTTTTGTGTGTTAACTTTGTATCCTGCTACTTTGCTGAAATTGTTTATTAATTTTACATTTTTTGTAGGAAATCTCTAGGGTTTTTTATATATAAGATCAATCATCTGCAAACACACATGACAATTTAACTTCTTCCTTTCCAATTTTGTTGCCTTTTATTTCTTTTCATTGCCTCATTGACCTGGATAGAATTTCCAAAGCCATGTTGAATAGAAGTGCTGCAAGCAGGCATTCTTGCTTGCAGGGATGTTCCTGATCTTAGAGGAAAAGCTTTCAGTCTTTTACCATTGAACATGATATTTGCTGTTGGTTTTTCATATTTAGCTTTTGTTACGTTAAGATAGTTTTCTTCTACTCCTAGTTTATTGAATGTTTTAACATAAAATGGTGTTCAATTTTGTCAAAAGCTTTTTCTACATCAATTGAGATAATTATATTTTTTTTCCTTTCACTCTGTTAATGTGGTGTATTACATTGATAAATTTTTATATTGAACCATCCTTGGATTCCTGGAATAAACACAGTTGGACACGGTGTATAATCAGTTTAATATGCTGTTGAATTC